>NC_000006.12:4756969-4908484 GCF_000001405.40 Homo sapiens
AACTATTGTGGTTATTTGATGACTGAAGGGTATCACTGTCTTTTCAAGTCTTGTGTGAGCATAAGTGATTGGTATGAGTCACCATTGTACCTATAACTGATTGACATGAATAAATATACAGAATATAAACTCCAACTATTTTTTAAAAGTTTGTTGGATATTTCTGTATTTAGAAATATAACTTTAGTGTTGAAATAGTTGTCATCTAAACCAATGATGCCCAAACACAGGTCTGCAAGAAAATGAGAAAAACATTATTATAATGAGTTTTTTGGTTAAACTAAGTAATGCAATTGTTAGGATTATTCTGTATTTTGCAATTATGACTCTCCTACTTTTTGTGTGGGTTAACATTTCTTTGCTTTATAAAACAATGGTCATGATACATGGTAGAGGACAGTAGCTGTGGTTTTTGTTATTTCTATCATGGCTTTTCTTAACAAAACCAAGTTAGCAAACTGATGTTCATTTCCACAATAGCTTTGAAAATGTCACAGATCCATATTACCTCAAATGCTTGGAAACCATAATCTAGCCCAAGCTCTTTGTTTTAGAGTTGAGAATTATTTGACTTACAGAAGTTAAATTATTTGTCCGAGATCATGTAACTTACTACTGCAGACCCAATATGAGAATTCAACTCTATTAACTCTCAATGCAGAATATGCCTCATTATTTAAGTGAAAAACTGTCTTTTCTACAAATGAAAAGAAAACTCTATTTTTCGTATAACTTTTGAAGAAAAGGCATTGTGTAAATTTTATTTGCTAAAAATAATTTTATTAAGCCAGGTGTGGTAGTTCATGCCTGTAATCCCAGCACTGTGGGAGGCCGAGGCAGGAGGATTACTTGAGCCTAGGAGTTGTAGACCAGCCTGGGCAACATAGTGAAACATCATGTCAAATAAAAATAAGTAAATAAACTTATTAAAATCCTCCCAAAAGATGGCTTTATCACTAAATGAAAGAAACTGGATGATAAACTATACATCTGTAAAAATTTTTTAAAAACAAGTTTCCTAATTTGTTAATTTCATTTTTTTCTACTTATTTTCAAACAAAATTAACTTTTATTAAAAATATCTTTGTGGCCTGGTGCAGTGGCTCACACTTGTAATCCCAGCACTTTGGGAGGCTGAGGCAGGTGGATCATTTGAGGTCAGGAGTTCGAGACCAGCCTGGCCAATATGGTGAAATCCTGTCTCTACTAAAAATACAAAAATAGCAGGATGTGGTGGCTCATGCCTGTAGTCCCAGTTAATTGGGAGGCTGAAGTAGGAGAATCACTTGAACCCAGGAGGCAGAGGTTGCAGTGAGCTAAGATTACGCCACTGCACTCCAGCGTGGGTGACAGAACAAGACTCATGTCTTGAAAATAAATAAATATATATATATATATATATCTCTTTGTGGCCAGCACGGTGGCTCACATCTGTAATCCCAGCACTTTGGGAGGCAGAGACGGGTGGATCACTTGAGGTCAGGAATTCGAGACCAGCCTGGCCAAAGTGACAAAACCCATCTCTACTAAAAATACAAAAGAAATTAGCTGAGAGTGGTGACAAACACCTGTAAACCCAGCTACTTGGGAGGCTGAGGCACGAGAATCGCTTGAACCCGTGAGGCAGAGGTTGCCGTGAGCCGAGATCATGCCACTGCACTCCAGTCTGGGCAACAGAGAGAGACTCTGTCTCAAAAAAACACTTTGTGTACCTGAAGATTCTGGAAAATATAAGAGGAAGGAATAAAAACCCTATAATTCTAGAGAAAAGTCACAATTGACACTTTAACATAGTTCCTGCTACATATTTTTCGATGTATATTTTTGTACGGTTGAAACTATACTACATATTTCCTGATTCTTCATTTTACGTATTTATTTTAATTTCTTTAAAATATGTAATATATTTACATATTTTAAAGCTTGGAAAGAATAAACAGACATAGAGTGAAGAGGCTCTTTCTGATCTTTCTACCTCAATCACCCAGTTTTCTTTTTCTTTTTTTTTTTTTTTTTGAGATGGAGTCTCGTTCTGTCTCCCAGGCTGGAGTGCAGTGGCACGATCTCGGCTCACTGCAAACTCTGCCTCCCCGGGTTCACGCCATTCTCCTGCCTCAGCCTCCCGAGTAGCTGGGACTGCAGGTGCCTGCCACCACACCTGGCTAATTTTTTTGTATTTTTAGTAGAGATGGGGTTTCACCGTGTTACCCAGGATGGTCTCGATCTCCTGACCTTGTGATCCACGCGCCTCAGCCTCCCAAAGTGCTAGGATTACAGGCGTGAGCCACCGCGCCCGGCCAATCACACAGTTTTCTTCCTAACCAAAATTAATACAGTTGTTAAAAGTTTTCATATGTGTATCTTTCCAAAGAGACTTTGTGCATTTTATTCAGATTCTTTACCTTAATATTAAAACAGATTCACTTTCCATCTTATTTAAAATCATATAAAATGTCAATTTTAAGGCCCACATAATATTTTACTATACAGATATACCATAATTTGCTTAGTCCTGATTATCTATCAGACATTAAAATTGTTTCCAACTTTTGAGTTTTAGCAACTTTGTAGATCCTAGTGCTTAAATTAAAAGAGCCCATTGATCTTCTCATTTTAGAAATTGTAGGACTTGGTGGGTGCAGTGGCTCACACCTGTAATTCCATCACTCTGGGAGGCCGAGGTGGGTGGATCACCTGAGGTCAGGAGTTCAAGACCCGCCTGGCCATGGTGAATCCTCGTCTCTACTTAAAATGCAAAAATTAGCCGGGCGTGGGGGTGTGTGCCTGTAATCCCAGCTACTCAGGAGGCTGAGGCAGGAGAATCGCTTGAACCCAGGAGGTGGAGGTTGCAGTGAGCCGAGATCACGCCATTGCACTCCAGCCTGGGCAACAAGAGAGAAACTCCATCTCAAAAAAAAAAAAAAAAAAAAAAAAAAAAAAAAAAAAAAAAAAAAAAGAAGAAGAAAGAAAAGAAAAGAAAGAAAGAAAAAAGAAAAACAAAAGAAATTATAGGACTTTTACAGTAATTTTCCTTGAAGAGATTAGTTTCATTTTACCCCTATTCTCAAAAGCAAGTCTGTTGTTTTTTTCTGCTAAGGCTAGTCCATCAACCTGGGGTTGAAACAATCCTTTATCTCCATGAACTGACCTCAGTGAGTTACAGCCACATCCTCTTATACTTTGGAAAGAACATCCCTCAGCTCAGTGTTCCATAAATATTTATAGCAGGAATGCCCCAGTCCAAAGTGGATGGCATTTTGACCTCATCATTGTTGCTGACTCCCTGTATCCTGGGAGCTTAGAGGGTCGAAGCACTGTTGTTTAAGACACCCTTTGGAGCTCCCCCTTGAAAGCAAAGAGTAGTTATGCATTCAAACATACCCAAGGAATAGCACAGCAATACAAAAAAAAAAAAAAAATGATGACCCAAGTAGAAAGTATGCCCAAGAATAAATAAATGTTGATGCTGCTTTCAGAGGACTGTGAGAGTTGATGGGCTTTGTGCTGAATGCTAAAGACACTGGTTCATCATGGATTGGTCAGAAAAGAGTTTGCCTCATTTAGAGGAATATTCGTGGAGTTGGTGATGAATAGAGAAAGGTGAGGAAGGCTTCCCGAAGCAGAGGAGAAGCCATGAATTTGTTGCCTAGAAAAAGGTCTATGTGAAATAGAGCTCTTCAGAGTGAGAAATCTGGACCTACGCTATGAGGAAATTGGCATAAAAGGACCAAGAGGAAGCCTGACAAGAAAGGAAAATACTTGGTTAAAACAATTGCAGTAGAAAGGGAGAAATCTGGGCTTAATATAGATAGAACTGTCAAAGATAAGAGTAACTGCCAGAAAACCAACAAACAAAACTAGATAAATCAGTGAGCCTTCTGGGATTTTTTTTTTTTTCTGGGATTCTCTCTCAACCAACCCAACTCCCAGCCGCATCCCAACCCCCGTAGATAAAGTCTATTGTCCTTGTCCTATTCCTTGTAGTGGAAATTTAGCATGTTCTCAATTTGATGCAAAGTGTTACGTAACTCCAGGATCCAGCCCACTCTTCTGACTATATTTCCAACTATGTTATAATATTACTCTAAGACTCTCTTTTATAGAAATGTTCAAAGTAACTGTGGCAAAATTGTTTTTGCTCCCAACTATTGTACACACTTCATAAAAACTATTTCTACAACCTGAGAGCCAGTTGAGATAAGCTCTTGGCGGCAGATAAAGACCAAGATTGAGCACTCTCCAGTTACATATGTGTTAAACAGATCTTTAAACATATCCTTTCAAAGCTGTATCTCGAGGGATAATTTAATATAGGAATATAAGGTACCATGAGAGGGTCAATCACAGAAATATTTTTGGTGAGAGTGACTTTCCCCATGATTTTTTTTTCCCCAGACTGAGTCTTGCTCTGTCACCCAGGCTGGAGTGCAATGGCACAATCTCGGCTCGCTGCAAACTCCACCTCCCGGGTTCAATCTATTCTCCTGCCTCAGCCTCCTGAGTAGCTGAGATTACAGGCGTCCGCCACCACGCCCGGCTAATTTTTCTATTTTTAATAGAGACAGGGTTTCACCATGTTGGCCAGGCTGGTCTTGAACTCTTGACCTTGTGATCTGCCTGCCTCAGCCTCCCAAAGTGCTGGGATTACAGGCATGAGCCACCACGCCCGGCCCACTTTCCCCAGAATTGTTAAAGGTGACTACTTATGTGGTAGTATTCAAATACCCAAAGACCACCTACTCTAATTAGCAAAATAAGCTGTATTTGTATTGGTCCCATTCTTTCATTATTCTCAACCTGTTTCCTCTCTGTAAGATGGAAATAATATCTGTTTTATAGAATTGTCATAAAGGTTAAATCAGATTTCCAGTAATGGCAGACTAAATAAGTGTGATTGAGCTTCCTGCTAAGGACAACTAAGAAAGCTGGGGGAAAAGCATTTTAAGAATCTGATTCAAAGCAGTAGAGAACTAATAAGATGTTTAAAAACACTGAGCTAGGGTGGGGAAGCTTGGAAGCCCATGGAGGTGAGCCCGGAGTTTCTGTATGTTTTTCCCCTGTGAGCAAGACCAGAAGGCGGAGAGAACAACATGCTGAGTTATGATTTTGAAAGCCACAAAGATCTAAGGTGACAGGGATTGGTGCTCAGTTTCCATCAAGGGATGGGAGTCCTGGTGGATGAACTCTTCTCACACTGGATTAAAACTCTGAAGGACCTTAAGGAAAAGAGTAATTCAGAAGTAAGCACCCCTAGAGACTACAGCTTAGCTTTTAATTCTTTCAAGCCATGAAATTGATTTTAGGTGACATTTTAGTGTTTGAGCACTTAGGCAGCTGGCAGGAACAAACATATCCTCTCTGGAGAAATATAACATCATCTCAGACCTCAAATATATTTCTACATTTTGTAGATCCAATATCTGGCACATAATAAAAAATAATCAGACACACAAGGAGTAAAATAACATGAACTAATATCAATAGATACAGCAGACAATAGAAACAGACCTACAGAGGCTACAGGTGTTAGAGTTTGCACACTGACTTCAAACTAATGATCTTATTCAGGTCAAAGAGATTAAAAAAAAATCCAACAAGATTAAGAATTTCAACCAAGAACAACAACAACAAAAACTCAATAACAAATCAAAAGGATATTCCAGATTAAAGGGTACCAAAAAAAAAAAAAAAAAAAAAAAAGGTTTAAGAGCAGATGAGACACAATTAAAGCAAGAATTTGTAAACCAAAAGATAGATCAGGAGAAAGTACCCAGAATGTAGTAGAAAAACAAAATAATAGAAAAATCAGAAATGATAATACAACGCATAGGACTGTAGTGAAAAGCTGTAACATACGTTCATTGGAAACTCAGAAGGGAAGAAGAGACTGAGGTAGCAGCAATAATAAGAGATAATGGCTGACAAAATTTTGCAAGCTGGTAAAATAATTCAAAGACTCTATAAATCCTAGGAAACCCAACCAGGATAAATACACAAACGAATACCTAAACACATCATAGTAAAACTGCTGAAAACCCAAGACAAAGAGAAAATGGTAAAAATAGCAAGAGAAGAAAGATAGATTACCTTCAAAGGAGCAAAAATATAGCAGATTTCTCAATGGAAACAATTGAAAGTAGGAGACTATAAAATATACTAAAAGCACTGAGCAAAAGTAAGAAAATTGCCACTGAAATTCTATACCAGCTGATATAGCCTTCCATAAAAAGGTAAAATAAATAACTTTTTAGACAAACTAAAGCAAATATTAGATGTTTTTATAGCAGAAGGAAAATATCCAGCCTTGGAGATACAGTAAAAACAAAACAAAACAAAAAAACCAAAGGACAAAATAATGAGTTAAATATGTAGGTGACTCTAAATAAATATTGATTGCATAAGCCAATAATTATAATAATTTTTAGCAATTAAAATGAAGAATTAAAACACAAAGCAACAATAAGGATGGAATATAGAATTAGTGGTGTTGGAACATGGGTCAGTAGGACATGGAATAAATGGTGTAAAGTGTTCTAAGTTTCTTGTCCAGGAAAAAAATAAAAGTATTGGTATTACATTTAGTTAAGAAAAAGACACACTTAATATTTAGGGTTATTACTGTATATATTTTAAAGGAATATATGGCTTTCCAGGTAATAAGGAGAAAAATAATAGAATAATTTTTTTGTAGGGCCAGGCGCGGTGGCTTACATCTGTAGTCCCAGCACTTTGGGAGGCCAACATGGGCGGATCACTTGAGATCAGGAACTCAAGACCAGCCCTGTCAACATAGTGAAACCTCATCTCTACTAAAAATACAAAAATTAGCTGGGCATGGTGGCGTGTGCCTATAGTTCCAGCTACTCAGGAGGCTGAAGCAGGAGAATCACTTGAACCCGGGAGGCAGAGGTTGCAGTGAGCCGAGATCATGCCACTGCACTCTAGCCTGGGCAACAGAGTGAGACTCCATCCCCCAACCCCAAAAAAGAAAAATTTGTTGTAAAGTTCTCAATCAGTCTGGAACAAATCAATGAAGGAAAGAAAAAGAAACAGAACAAGTAGGAAAAATAGAACATATTGAATAATACCTAGAATTATACGTAGAATCAAAATTACACATACCAGTAATTACTTTAAATGTAAATGGACTAAATATCCCAATTAAAAGACAAAGATTATCAAACTGGATTAAAAAATAAAAGTGTTAATTGTAAGAGACATGTAAAACTTAAGAATCCAGAAAGTTTAAAAAACACATTTGGAGAAAGATTTAGCTATCATACAAACACAAAAGAAATTTGGTTGTAGGTTTTTTTTCATTTTTTGTTTTTTGTTTTTGAGATGGAGTCTTGCTCTGTTGCCCAGGCTGGAGTGCAATGGCATGATCTCGGCTCACTGCAGCCTCTGCCTTCCAGGTTCAAAAGATTCTCCTGCCTCAGCCTCCTGAGTAGCTGGGATTACAGGCGCACACCCCCACGCCTGGCTAATTTTTGCATTTTTAGTAGAGGTGGGGTGTCACCATGGTGGTCAGGCTGGTCTCAAGCTCCTGACCTCATGATCTGTCCACCTCAGCCTCCCAAAGTGCTGGGATTACAGGCGTGAGCCACTGCACCCAGTCAGTTGTAGGTATCTTAATATCAAAGTAGACAATGTAAAAAGCATTATTGGTGTCTTTATAATGACAAAATGCTTCCTTCACCAGATAGATTATAACAATTTTAAACTTGTATGTACCTAGAAACATAGTTTAAAAATATGCAAAGCAAAAACTACACAGAAAGGCTTAGACAAATTCATAGTCATGTTGGGATATTTTAATGCACCTGTCCCAGTAACTAATAGAATATTTGAACAACATAAACAGTAAAATACAGCAAAATTAAACACACACACATATATATAATAGAGAGAAAACACTGCATAACAACTAAAAAATACATAGTCTTTTGAAGTACCACATAAAATATGTATAAAACTTAAGCAATTTTGTGACATAAGTGTTAACAAATTTTAAAGGATTGAAATTCTACAGATTATATTCTTTCACTACAATGTTATTAAGCCAGAAATTGGCTGGGTGTGGTGGCTCACGCCTGTAATCCCAGCACTTTGGGAGGTCAAGGTGGGTGGATTAACTGAGGTCAGGGGTTTGAAACCAGCCTGGCCAATGTGACGAAACCCATCTCTACTAAAGTACAGAAAATCAGCCAGGCATGGTGGTGGGCACTTGTAATCCCAGCTACTTAGGGAGGCTGAGGCATGAGAATCACTTGAACCCGGGAGGCAGAGGTTGCAGTAAGCTGAGATCGCACCACTGTACTCCAGCCTTGGTGACAGAGGGAGACTTCGTCTCAAAAAAAAAAAGACAAATAAAAATAACTAGAAAATCCTTATTTTTTGAAATTTTAAAATATCTTTCTAATAACATGTGGCTCAAAGAAGAAACCACAATGGAAATTATAACATATTTTCAACTAAATAATAATAAAAATACAAACTATTAAGACTTGTGGGATGCAGGGGAATTTATAGGTTTTAATTCATACATTTGAAAAGAAGACTGAAGATCAATGAACAAAGTCATCTTTTTTGTTTCCCGTTTTTTTTTTTTTGATACAGAGTCTTGCTCTGTCGCGCAGGCTGGAGTGCAGTGGCACAATCTCAGCTCTCTGCAACCTCTGCCTTCCAGGTTCAAGTGATTCTCTTGCCTCGGCCTCCCATGTAGCTGGGACTACAAGTGCATGCCACCACACCCGGCTAATTTTTGTATTTTTAGCACAGATGGGGTTTTGCCATGTTGGCCAGGCTGGTCTCGAACTCCTGACCTCGGGTGATCCACCCACCTTGGCCTCCCAAAGTGCTGGGATTACAGGCATGAGCCACCATGCCTGTTGAACAAAGTCATCTTAAGAAATTAGAAAATGAATAACAAATAAAACAAAGGAAATAATAATGATAGAAGTGTAATTAAATAGAGTAGACATACCATACAAAGAACCAAAAAAGCTCAAAATTGGTATTTTCAGAAGACTAATAAATTAATATACCCATGGCAGGACTGATAAAGAACAAGGAGAGAAATGATACGTATTTTCAATAATTAAAATGGGAATATTATTAGAGATCCTACAAATACTAAAATTTTATGAACAATTTTATGTTATTAACTTTGAAAATTTAGATGAAATGGACAAATTGACACAGAAAGAAATAGAAATCCTGAATATTCCTTTTTTGTTTGTTTGTTTTTTCCTTTTGAGATGGAGTTTCACTCTTGTTGCCCAGGCTGGAGTGCAATGGCATGATCTTGGCTCACTGCAACCTCCACCTCCTGGGTTCAAGTGATTCTCCTGCCTCAGCCTCCTGAGTAGCTGGGATTACAGGCATGTGCCACCATGCCTGGCTAATTTTTTGTATTTTTAGTAGAGACAGGGTTTCACCATGTTAGCCAGGATGGTCTCGATCTCCCGACCTCAGGTGATCCACCTGCCTCAGCCTCCCAAAGTTCTGGGATTACAGGTGTGAGCCATGGCGCCCGGCCCTGAATATTTCTTTATTAAAGAATTTGAATCTATAATTTAAAGTCTTCCAGTAAGAATGCTCCAGACCCAGGTGGCTTTATAAGCAAATGCATACAGGTATCAAAAGAAGAAATAATGGCATTCATACACAAACTAAAAATTGGAAAAGAGGAAGTACATGACAACTTATTTTATGAGATCTCCATAACCTTGATATTAAAATCTGACAAGAGGCCGGGCACAGTGGCTCACACCTGTAATCCTAGCCTTTGGGAGGCTGAGGTTGGCAGATCATTTGAGTTCAGGAGCTCGAGACCAGCCTGGGCAATCTGGTGAAACCCTGTTCTCCACAAAAAAAAAGTTGGCCGGGCATGGTGGCGTTCACCGGTAGTCTCAGCTACTTGGGGGGAGCTGATGTGGGAAGATCACTTGAGCCCAGAAGGTTGAGGCTGCAGTACACAAGATCTTACCACTGTACTCCAGCCTGGGTGACAAAGTGAGACCCTGTCTAAAAAAAAAATTAACAAGAAAGAAAAATTTCAGGTGAATCTTCCTCATGAACATAGATTCAAAATCCTAAACATATTATTAGCACACCAAATTTAGCCATTTATGAAAAGGATAATGCATAAAAACTTTATTTGGTTTATTCCAGAAAAAGAAATTTGGCTTAAAATTAAAAATAAATATGTCAATGCATTTACAAAATGAAGGAATAAAATCATTTGATCATTTCAGTAGATGACAAAATTCAATATTCATTCATGATAAAAAAAAAAAAAGTTTAGAAAACTAGGATGGAGACTGGGCGCAGTGGCTCACACCTGTAACCCTAGCACTTCGGGAGGCTGAGGCAGGTGGATCACGAGCTCAGGAGTTTGAGACCAGCCTGCCCAACATGGTGAAACCCCATCACTACCAGAAATACAAAAATTACCCAGGCGTGGTGGCGTGCGCCTATAATCCCAGCTACTTGGGAGGCTGAGGCGGGAGAATCGTTTGAACCCAGGAGGTGGAGGTTGCAGTGAGCTGAGATTGTGCCACTGCACTCCAGCCTGGGTGACAGAGTAAGACACCCTCGAGAGGAGAGGAGAGGCGAGATGAGGGGAGGGGAGGGGAGGGGAGCAGAGGGAAACTAGGATGGAAAGGAACTGCCTTAATCTAATTAAATAGGCCTACAAAATTCCTTCAGCAAATATCATCCCTAATGGTAAAAGCTTTCCCTCTGTAATAAAAATCAAGACCTGGTATCCACTTTACTCAATGTCATATTGGAGGTCCTAAGTGCAGTGTCCCTCACTTTATAGGCATGCTGCATATGCAGTTGGCATCAGCGAAGCAGGTCCACCAAAACTTTATTTTGAAATGATTTGATATCTAAACAAAATGTAAAAACATCAAATTTAATGCAATATTGCAATAATTCCCTAACCACTCTCCTCCAACCACTTTCTCTTCATAGAGCCAAACTTTTAAAAAATATAAGTCAGATTATTGATGAAGAGACCCAGGACCTGGTCATGAGCTACCAGATTTGCCTGCCTCTCCATCCCATCTTATGTCTCCCTTCCTGTTGTCTGCATTCTGGCTTCACCAGCATTTTCAGAGTCTCAAAGGTGTCATGCAACTTCCACATCTAGGCCTTTGGAAAAAGCCCTTTCCTAAGCCTGGGACCATTTCCAATGCCCTCTTCACCTAATTCATCCTTTAGATTTTAGCTCGCTAGTTCAGGGACAACCTAATCACAAATAGGGAATAGCCTCAGTCACAATAAACACATCTAACACCCAGAACTTGCTTTCTAATATGATTTTTCAACAAAGAGGAACCAAGGCTCCTTGGAGAAATGGTTGATTCTAGGACTGGAGCAGAAAATATACAAGATGAGCCTGCAGCATCTTACAATGCCAGAAAGTAAGGAAGTGATCAAAATATACACCGCCTCATGATGAGAGTATGTCAAAGATGCACAGAAGTCAACTGAAAGAGCTCCCGGTGGCCAAAGCTAGAGAATCTGATCAAGGAAATAAATAATGCATTATGGATTATAATCCAGGGTATAAAATAATCCATGAGTCTCAATTGATATAAAAAATGAATAAATTAATAAGTGGGGGAGAAGAGAGAAATCTCCTATGCAGAAGAATTGTAGATACTTTTTGTAGACACTCTGCCCTCGAGGGGAAACATAATCCTCATTTCTTAAGTGTGGGCTGCTCAAAGTGACTCCCTTCCAAACACTACAGTATGGAAAGGGACAGGGGCTGGGAGTGGAGAACAGTAAGTTTTCAGTGCAGAAATCTGACAAGCACTGTATTTGCTAGGTGATCAAGGTCAACATCAGCAGTGAAGTCATGTTGATCGTAGGTATCCTTGATACAATGTGATGAGAATGGCATTTTACCTCTGTGGTCTTCCTCCCCCAAACACAAAAGCCCAGTCAAATCATATCATGAGACAAATATCAGACAAATTCCAGTTGAGGACATTCTGCAAACGTTTCACAAAATGTACTCTTCAAAACTGTCAAGGTCATCAAAAACAAGAAAAGCCTAAGAAACTGCCATAGCCAAGAGAAGCGTAAGGAGACAGGAGAACTATTAATAGAGGTAATGCGGCGTCACAGATGGGATCCCGGGGCAGAAAAAAGAAAATTAGGTAAAAACTAGGGAAATCTGAATAAAGCGTGTATTTTAGTTAATAATACTGTATCAATATTGGTTCACTAATTGTGCCATGTATACCTGACTAAATGTAATGGGGAAAACTGGGTATGGGAACTCTCTACTATATATGCAATTTTTCTATAAATCTAAATCTGTTAAAATCTAAATCTGTATGAAAAACATCAACAACTAAATAACCTCTAAATAGTGAATAGAATATGGTATCCCTCCTACTTCTCATAAATTATTTAAAAGTCTGCCAAGTATTGGTCTGAATACGGAAATCATATTTTGCTTAAGCTGGGGAGTGGGTACATAGGCCTTGTTGTATTTTTCTTTATGCCTTTTTGCATATCTAGTATTTCATTTTTTAAAATGCTAAATGTAAAGCAATTGCGTAAAAGTCAAAATGTTGATCTCTCGCATGATGGCTACTTAGTTTTAAAATATCAAATTATTTGAAAATAATTTTTCAATGATTCTGCTTTGCTGGTACCCAAGCATGTCCAGTGTGCCCACGGGGTGCTGGGCACTGTCTCTGGGGAAGCAGCAAACCAGACTCATCTCTAGGTGGCCTGGGCTCAACAGCTTCCTGCCATTTTCTTTGATTGGTAGTTAAGACTTTTTTGTTGTTGTTTTGTTTTTGTTTTTGTTTTTTGAGACGGAGTCTCGCTCTGTTGCCCAGGCTGGAGTGCAGTGGCGCGATCTCGGCTCACTGCAAGCTCCGCCTCCAGGGTTCACGCCATTCTCCTGCCTCAGCCTCCCAAGTAGCGGGGACTACAGGCGACCGCCACCACGCCCGGCTAATTTGTGTGTGTGTGTGTGTGTGTGTGTGTGTGTGTGTGTGTGTGTGTATTTTTAGAAGAGATGGGGTTTCACCATGTTAGCCAGGATATGGTCTCAATCTCTTGACCTCGTGATCCACCAGCCTTGGCCTTCCAAAGTGCTGGGATTACAGGCGTGAGCCATGGCGCCGGGCCAACATTTTTTTTTTCCTGACAACTTAATGTCTATCTATCCTAATAGATTGCCAGCTACGTGAGAGCAGGGATGATTGTATGTACATTGAGTAGCAAGGTGCCTGGCATACAATAAATGGTCAATAAGTATTTATTGAGTGACTATAACTTAATGATTCAAAACTTAGACCCTAGTGTTACCTGGACCTGATGAAGTTTAGCTTCCCCACTTACTAGGAATGGGGTCAATAAAAATGCCCACTCCAAAGGCGCTTTGTGGACGAATGTGCTTACTTATTACGGTTCTTTGTAAATGTTAGCTATGATTTTTATTAGGTGCTTGCTGAATTAAATAGCTTAATATTTGTAAAGTGCTTAGAACAGTTCCTGGAACAGGGTAAGTGCTTCTTGTTTGTGTTTATTTATTATTTTTTTAATGTTGCTGTTGACCAAATTAAACTTCACATTCATTTTGTTTAGTCTGTTAGGGATATTCTTTGGAAAATCTTCTACATTGTGTGGAAAGATAAGGCCTAAAATGCATACTATTCTGATTCGTTCAAAATATATCACTCTGGGATATGTGTAATTCAGAAAGGAACGTGATCTGAACACTTCTGTAGTAGTTATGGAGAAGTAATGTGTACTACAAAAAAGGAATCATTAAATCATTTAAGAAAATTGCTGTGCACTACAGCAATATCATTCATAGATAATTAACAATCCACCTTTGCAGGGGTTTGTTACCTGGTTTCAAAACATTGGCTTTTAAACTTCTTGCCCTAGCTCAAAATGTAAGAAATACATTTTACATTATGACTTAGTACACAATAATATATGTGCGTGCATATATAAGCATATATATACATGCCTAAATATTTGTGTATATGTATAATGGAAACAAAATTTTACTACACAATGGTCATTCCTAGTAAAGTGATGGATGCTCTCTAATACTGTTTCTAGTTCCAGTAGGTGAGAGGGTAAGAGAATTTGCACTTTTTTTTTTGGCGGGGGGGATGGAGTCTTGCTCTGCCATCCAGGCTGGAGTGCAGTGGTGCTATCTCGGGTCCTTGCAACCTCTGCCTCCCGGGTTCAAGTGATCCTCTTGCCTCAGCCTCCCGAGTGGCTGGGATTACAAGCACATGCCACCACACCCGGCTAATTTTTGTATTTTTAGTGGAGATGGGGTTTCACCATGTTGGCCAGGCTGGTCTGGAACTCCTGAGCTCAGGTGATCCACCTGCCTTGGCCTCCTAAAGTTTTGGGATTACAGGCGTCAGCCACCACGTCCAGCTGAGTGTTTGCACTTTGAACAAGTCCCAAGGTGATGCCGTTGCTGCTAGTTTGGGGAACCACACTTTGAGAACTTCTACACTAGACAATACTAGTGATTGAAAAAAAATCAAGCCCCACTAAGCGCCTCCAAGTGCTGGTCTGGCCCCAATCTTCCAACTCATTTACACTTTGCTTTAGATTCAACATCCACCTGCTCCTGGGATAATTCTGGGTTCCCCCACTTCTGGTGGGTCTTGTGTTTCTATTTTCCTTACCAGTCAAAATGTCCACACTCATCTCTTGCCTAGTTGTTCTCTCTCTCTCTTTCTCTCTCTGTCTAGAAATGGAAAGGTAAAGACGATACTGGGATGGTCTGACTTGAGAGACAAATGCAATTAATCATCACAATAATTCAAGGGAAAGTTAAACAGTACTTGCTGTTTTTTTCCAGGGATCCAAAATGAGTTAGTTACTGCCTTGGCATAAAGTCAACCAAAATTATGGGAATACCTGTGCCTATTTCCTCTTTATGATTTTTGGTCTTTTTGCTTTCCAAAAATGGGGTAATGTATAAAATTATCAATGAAAAACTTCCTTGCTCTTGCTCATTACTTTAATCAAAAAAAGTTCAACAAGTACATATTACAAGGATTCTCTTGGTAGAACACCATTAGCTAAATAGAAAAAGGAACCGTACTTAAACACTAAATCTAGTTGAAAAAGCAAATGATCCTTAATTGTAGATTGATGAGCTCCGGCCAGTGATGGTATCACAGCCTAAGATGAAATTGGTGAAATCAAATGTTAAGAGGTCTCAGAATTGGCATCACGAGGGCAAAGAGATGAAACAACTAGTGATATCTGGCCAAGGAGCAGCAGTGTGGCAGCTGGCTACTGGCTTCTATATGAAAGAGAGAAATGGTACCTACCTGGGACCAACATGGAGGGCGGCAGGGAGAGGCTGCCCCTCGAAATGGGGAAACTGACTGTTTGGGCAGGGAAGGCAACAGTGACTGAAAAAAGGAATCAGCTGTTATTGGTTGACCAGAAAAAGGTACTGGTATCCACTCTAAGCTTTTAGGGAAGGAAGAACTGGTTGGCTCCCAGTTCAGACAAGGCCCCTAACATCTGAATTAATCTTATAAATGGTTCTGTATGCTTCTTTCTTTTGGGTCTCAGGTTTAAAATGTTCTTTCTTTTGAGTGGGTGATTGAGATGGAAATTCCACCAAGTTTTCTGGAGTAGATACTCTATGACAAGAACGGCATTTAATTTCCCTTCAGCCACTGTGGGTTTAAAACCAACAAACTTAGGTCGCATCTTCATAAAAATCACAATTAAATTTTGGGTTATGGAGGAGGTAACCAGGATAGAATATGCTTTGGGGGTACAAAACTGTTGAAGGGAATCATTATCAGTAGCTTTTCACAGCTACCCAACCATAAAACGCCTTTGGCTCTGAGAATAGTAGTAGCTAGATTTTGGCTTCTTTTGTTTTTTTCTGTCCCATCCCCCATCTCCCCTTGGATGCCTTTGGATTCAAATGTAGATGAAATGCAGATTCTTGGGAGAAAGGAAGACATGCCTGGTTTGGCTGGTGATTGGGAAAAGAGGAGGATCTCAGATTTCAGGTTTTAGTTATCATTCTCCCGAGATGGGAAGAGGCTGTGATTCTTGATCTGAAGAGTCTTATCGTCGGTAGAACTTGCCATCGATGATCAATTGTTTGGATTTGAGGAGGAGAGAATTGAATTATGTTGGCCTACAACAACGGGAGCAGGTCAGGTAAGAATCGTTTATTGCTGGTAGACGTGTCTTTTAATCATGTGTGTATATCGTCTCTCTTGTTGACCACTTCTCTAAT
Organism: Homo sapiens; assembly: GCF_000001405.40. Classification (NCBI taxonomy): domain Eukaryota; kingdom Metazoa; phylum Chordata; class Mammalia; order Primates; family Hominidae; genus Homo; species Homo sapiens. Next base: position 4,773,258 of record NC_000006.12, read on the forward strand.
CTTTTAAGAGTCATATGTCTTACTAGTGCATGGTATTGTGCTGTATGTATTTTTGCTGCAATCTTCCCGGTGTGCTTAGGGGATGTGATTTCACTTTTATTCTTAAGCCACTGAGAAAATAATAGCACCCACACACGTGGTCATGGAAACTACAGAACTTCACTGTTTCATAAAAGGTGGTGGAAATTCCAAGTCATTAAATAATCTTGGGCATATTTACTTCTGCTATGAGTGCTGGTAAAATGTTTATATAAAAAAGTGACGGAGGAAAGCAAAGTTTGCTTAAAAGTAAGACAAATTGAACGAATGAGGTTAAAATATATATGTATATATAAGCAAAATAGCATTCCATAAATCAGTGAGTTTTAAATGGAGGGCAGATGAAAGGAACAAAGTGGACAATTGAGAACTTCCTCAATTTCTCAGTCGCTAGGTGGATACCCATCTCCTTCGCCAGTGGAAGCCAACTGTCAGAGTGGAGAGGTGGTTGGAACTTAGGAGTATGGCTCACTCCTGCTTTGTTTTAGAGGCTACTGGTGGTTACTCTTAATGTTGTAGACTAAGGATAGCAGCATAAACATTCCAGATTGTCAAGATTGAAAAGCTACGTAAATTGACAAAGGTCTATGTAAATTGACATTTTTGAGTTGCCTTTTTGAGGCTATAATTCTTCCCCTTTTTGTTTCCACAATGGGGAAAATCGCCTTACTAGCTCAATATCTGGATATGTTTGTTGTGGATGTCTATGTTCCTTTCTTTCCCTCTCCTGGGCAACAATGGCAGTTTTGGAGACTCCTTGGAGACCACAGTACCATTACGCACATGGTGGAGCCCCTTGTGAATGCCTAAGCTTGTGGATGTTCTGAAGGGGGCAATAATTGGAGTAATGGTCATGGCGAGAAGTGCTTGTATTTGTATTGGTCCATCATTGCATAATAGGCTTATATGTTATATGTATCTATTTCCTATTGAGGATCTCTTTTTTACAGTTGATTTTTCTTGAGGGATTTTAAACTATCACCTGCCAGTATTTGAGCGCTTGCCGAAGTGTGCACTCAATGCTTTGAGATTTCCCAAATGTATAAAATCCTAGTCCTTGCCTTCAAGGAACTTACAACTTTTGTTGATAAATTGGTAAACCTAGAGAGAAGGCAACAATGAAATGCAGCATATAATGGAAATGCTAAGTGAGAGGAAAGAGGCGCTGTTTGGAGGAGGGAGAGGGAATTGGCTGGGCCATCAGGGAAAGAGGCAGAGCTTGAGGCGCCTTGACCAGTTGATGAAGTGGTGGCTTTAATTTGCGATTCTTGTGCAAACATTTGATAATGGGAATTGGATGTGTAGGTATTGGGCTTTCTCGTGGACACTGAAATTCCATTCATTGAACAACACCTTATTTCCTGTATAGAGAATGGTGCTAGGGGCCAGCGTCAAATTTGAAGATGAAGTCTGACTGAAGGTCATCGTTTGGAGTTGGGGTGGGGTGAAGAGTAGACAAACCTTAAAATACAGAGACGAGTGCTGCAGTGAGCACGCGTGAGTGCTTAGGCAGCGCTTGAAGAGGGAGTTACCGATTTGGCCCTGGAAGTCAGGAAGGCTATCCTTTTAAGGTGATCCCTGAGCTGGGAGTTTGTTTCAAACGGTGGGGACCGCAGGTAGAAGCACCGCTTAAGGGGAACGGCGATTCGACTCGCAGTGACTTAAGGGTTGGCGTGGTGCTTGTTCCTGGGCGTGGGGAGGACAGGAAACCGCGGGGTCTGTGAGACGCCCCGTGGTTGTTGAAACGCTGTTGGGGGGCACAAACGAATAGGGCTTTAGGAAGAAAACTGGTGGGAGGAGCCTTGTGGCTCCAAGGTAGGTTAGGAACTGGAGCGAGATGGAGCACGGAGGAGTGAGGCGGCCCGAAGGATGCCCGGGGAGACATGGAGGAACTGGCGAGGGCTTCCCGATGCAGGGCCTGGGGGAGAGGGTGAACTAATGCCTCTGCAGTGCCCCGTGGGGAAGTTCCGCATACTCGGCCAGAGTGATCGGAGTTGGCGGCTGTCTGGGGGAGTTGGGTCAGGAAGCCCCTTCTTTCGCCACCGATGGGGCACGTCCAGGGCCCGGCAGGTGTGCCCTGGCAGTAGATCTTCCCTGGGAAGTGGAGCGCGGGCCAGCCCTCGCTGTTCTGAGCGAGGGCCTGTCGTGTAGTCCACACCGTTCCGCGAAAGGAACCACCATTGACAGCCTCGTTCGATTAGAACCCGGACCTCCCTGGAATCCAGACTCGGTCCCTTCCCAGCTGCGCTTCGGAGGAGGCGGACGCTCCGAGAGGAACCCAGAGGCCTGGCGTGGGGGGAGCTGCGGGCAGAGCGGAGGCAGCCGCGCCCTCGCGCCGCCCTCCGCCGCGCCCGGCTCCCGCCCCCCGGATCCCACCCCCGGCCTGCCGCGGAGCCAGCGTGCCAGCCGGAGCTCGCCGGGCCACCCCGCGGGGCGCGCGGCCCGGGCTCCGGGTCTTGGCGGCGGCCGGTGGGGCGGGCATGGGGTGGGGTGGGTGCTCCACCTGGCCACGCCGCCGGCCCTTCGCGGGCTGGCCCGGCCCCGGACGGGCGGGCGCACGGAGGCCGCCTCTTGGGCTCCTCCTGGAGGGAGGCGCGCGGTAGACGGCGCGGCCGCTGCCGTCGGGGCGGTGGGCTCCAGACGCGGGCCGGCTCGCTCGCATGGTTCCCTGCCCCATCTCGGGTCCGTCGCTGCCCGTCCTGGTGTGCACAACCGCGCTGCGCCTCGAACCTCGAGGTCCAGGTCCCGCCTGCCCTGGGCCGGGCCGCAAGCGCCCACGTCGAGGCGGGCTGGGGGGCGGTGCCGCGGGCCAGGCCGACCCCGCAAGCGGGACTGGGGAAGTCGGAGCCCCGCCCACCACCCCGCCCCCCGCGCTCGCGGCCCCGCCCCCGACTGCCCCGCTCCTCCCCTTCCTGCCGGCTCGCTCCCGGCCCCGCCGGCCGCCCGCCTCGGCCCCGAGCGGAGCCCACTGCTCCCCTCGGCTGCCCCGCCCCGCCGCCGCCCCGCCCCTCCCGCGCGGGCGGCCCGAAAACCCGGAGCGCGGGAGCGCGGCTCCGCAGGGCCGGGCGGCCGCACTGGGCATGCTCAGTAGCCGGGGCAGGTTTTTTGGTCGCAAGTAGGAAGCTTTCTGCACTACACCGGAGAGGGGAGCCGCGATCCGGCCGCGCCGCCCGCACGCCGCCGCGCCCGCCCCAGCCCGCCCGGCCCCGCGGCGGGGCGCGATGAGCCCGAGCGCGAGCCGGCCCGCCGGGGAGTGAGCGCGGGGCGCCCAGGGCGCGTTGCGTAGCTGCTCCTGCGCACAACCCCGCCGCGCCGCCGGCCCGCACTGGCCGCGGAGTGCAAGAGGCTCGTCCGTGCCCAGCGCCCGGCCGGCCGCGGGAGCAGGAAGCGCAGGCCACGCAGGACCCAACTGAAACAAAGTGTCGGCCGCCCGGCGCCGGCGCCCGCCCCGACCCTGCCCCTCCCGCCCGCAACTCCGCCGCCCACCATGGCTTCCGAGGAGCTGTACGAGGTACCTCCCCTCCCCCCGGCCTCGGGCCGCCCCCCGCCCGCCGCCCCTCCCGGCCCGGCCGCGCCGCCCGACGGCCCCGCTCGCCGCCCGCGCCCGCCGCGTCCCCTCCCCCGCCGCGGCCGCAGTTTGCTGGACGGGAAATGTGTGTGAGGGGAGCCCGAGCCTCCGTTCCGAGGGGCCCCGGCCGGGGGGTCCTGAAGTTGCCGGGCGTGGGGTGGGGGGGGGGGTCCCAGCCGTGGGGAAGTGGTGCTGACACAAGTGACTTGCTCGGACTGAGCTCAAAGTGCTCTTGGCGTGGGTCGTGGAAGTGGTGCCTCCGTTGCCGCTCGGCGGGGACCGTGGGCGGTACGGGGGGTGGGGTGTGGGGGGGTTTCTGGATCATTTGATAAAGCATTTGGGAGAGGGTTTTGCCCCTGGTCGGGGGGTGGCGGGGAGAAGACCGGTGCAAACGCTTTCGACTTTGCTGTTCGCCAAAGCGATGCAAAATCTCGCACCGAAAATGCTAAACGTTGACCACATGCTTTAATTAGGTTAGCATTGTGGCCAGAGCCAGGAAATTTAAATTTAACGCTGATACACCGTCATTCATTTGCGCCGCAGCGTTGCAAATGAGAAGGGCATAGCCAGAACTGTAAGTTCTGGTCGATGGGTTTAAACCAGCTTCAAGTTTGAGAGTTACCAATTTGGATCTTTAGACATGTTTTGTATGTCTCCATGTAACTTCTTTTGACGTATTTCAAAGTAGACTTCCTGGGAGTACAGAAGTTTGGAAGGCTTTCTGTTCTTCTGGATAAATGATTCTCTTGTTTCACATGTATTTATAAATAAGTTCCTAAGAGACTTAAAACTTGCGAAGACTCTCTAGACTCACCTTTATGATGCGTTTAGGGACCTGGGTGTTGAGGGACTTAAGGAAGCATCTGTAACAAGTAGAGCCCTGTGGCCCCAGGGATCCTTTCAGTTGTCTTCTCTTATGGGCGTATTATTGCTGTTGGCATAGAATAGAGCTTTGTTGTCTGCGATGTTAGTCTTCTAGCAACTTTTTTGTTGCTTTTTAAGAGCAAGTGTTTGCAGAAGTTCTCAGGAGGAAGCTGCCATCTGTAGAATTAAGGGTAAGGTTGTTGCTTCTCCTTACATTGTATGTGGTCAGTATACCTTAGCTGGTACTGAAAATGTTCCATTCTTTTCAACCATTTTACACATTAGCTGTGCCCCGCTGTATTCAGGATACTATTTTAGGTCATTTGGGGATGTAAAAGAAGAAAAATCTCCCTGTTCTCAGGAGCTTTCCTTCTAGGAAGGAAAGTGTTGTGTGTCTGGAAGACACAGAAATGGAGGCTAGGATGTTTGAGGTTGAGGTCTTCCAGGTGAAGTCTGTACAGGGGGAAGTACATAGCATGAGGGTATGGGGGATTTTAGTTTCTACATTAGATCATTCTTTGGTTGTTTAGTCATGAGTGTTCACTCTTGGCATTTGCTTTTATGAGTATGATTACATAATCAGTTCCATCAGTGGATGAGAGTAGCACCTTATACGTAAGTTGTATCCTATGTGTGTAAGAATGATTCTGAAGACAGCACATTTCCCATTAGTATATTATGAACTAAGTTTAGTTCCTTCTGTGCTTATTCTATATCTTCAGGTTTCTGTTCCTAACAGAAGTTATTAATGAGTAACATTTTGTACTAAGTTTGTGTTCATTTAACGTTTATTGAATGCTTGCCATATGGAGGTTTCATGGGGAAATACTGAGGTGTGAGAATGGTTCATGCTTTCAAGGAGTGTCTGTTGGGGAGGAAGTAAGTATATTGCAAATAAATGATACACCTGCACAATTGAACTTTTGATTCTGAGTTTTATTTTAGTTTTGGAAAAAAAGGTATTATAGAAGTATAGTTCAGGTGATAAATTTAAGTATGTGTAGTAAATATGTAGTGGTCAGTATCTTTCAAGGCAAAATTTGTAACTTTTCTTTTACTTGTAGGCAACACTGTGACTATGTTACCATTGAAAGTTGACATTGAAAGTTTTGCATGGCAGTTGAGAGCCTAGATTTGGAGTCAGACAACCCAGTTAGTGACTTCCAACTCTATCACCTTGGGTAAATTAGCCTTGAAAGCTCAGTTTCCTCATCTGTGAAATTGGGATCAGTGTTTCCCTTATAGAGCTATGAAGTTTACATGAGAACATATGTAAAGCCCACCCTAAAATTCCCATGGCAAGCACCCAGTAAGTGATGATGATTGTATGGTAACTGGCTTAAAATGCCTCCCTGAAACCTGGTTTTGTTTCTAAAGGTATAGAGTTGTATTGTTTTCATAAAGGCAGTATTATCTGTAGGGCAGAAGTGATACGCAATTGTAAATGAACGCGATAGTCTGACAAGGCTGGGAAAGACACTAAGATGATGTTTTGTGGCCAAGTCAAGGGTTGTTAGTTGCCTTGTTTTGTCCAGTTCTGCCTAAACTGAAATAGAAGTTTTCTGTTTGGCCTCAGGCTCCACAAATCTAGAGGGATATATTGACAGGAGGAAATGTGAAGTCTTGCTTCTTTGAACTCACATGGTCTGGTAGGAGGACAGGTCTGCAGTAACTGGGAACTTGGGTGAGTTACCCAACTGCTGAGCCTTGGTTTTCTCGCCTAAAAGAAATGTCTCCAATACTTAGCATGGAACCTGGTATGTAGTAATAGGTCTTTAGTAAATGTTTAAATGGCTATTGAAACTAGGCTTTGTGAACAAAAAATAAAGGAACAGATCCTGGAAAAGATGGGTAGAGCATGAACCTTGCAAAATTTGAAGAGTTACTATTAGTTGAAGGATGGAATAGATTTACTCCCTACTTTTCCAGCTGCTAGGATTGAGGAAAAACGGATTTTTGATGCGGCGTAGGTTAGAACTTCATAGTTTTCACAAAAAGACAAGCGTCCTTTACATCACGCTTCTAATGTAAAGGGCCAGATAATACATATTTTAGACTTGTGGGTTATATTATGGTCTTTGTTGCAACCACTCAGCTCACCTCATGTAGTGCAAAAGCAGTCGTAGACTCCTATATGAATGTGCGCTGTGTCTCAAACTGCTTATGGATAGTAAAATTCACTTAGTATATTTCATATCATTTTATGTGTCATGAAATACACATTTGTGTTTTTTTTCCAATCACTTACAAATGTAAAAATGATTCCTAACTTGTAGGTTCCACAAAAATAGGCAGTGGGCTGGCTTTGCCCTGTAGGTTGTTGTTTGTTAAGCCCTGCTGTAGGTGATCAACTGTCATAGTCTGTTTAGGAATCTGGGTTTACTCAAGGGTTGGGGATGTATGGAAGTTAGACGGTATTTCTAACTTTCATCCCAGCTCTAGACTTAGAGCTGGAAGATCTGGGTGGTAATCCTCCCTCCTTTCCTCCTTCCTTTCCTTTCTTTCTTTCTCTTTTTTTTTTTCAAGAGTCTTGCTCTATCTCCCAGGCTGATGTGCAGTGGCTTCATGTTGTCAGCTCACTACAACCTCTGCCTCCCGGGTTCAAAGCTATTCTCATGCCTCAGCCTCCTGAGTGGCTGGGATTACAGACGTGCACCACCCCCGCCTACGCCCCCCCCCCCCCGCCCCCGCCCCCGCCCCGGCTAATGTTTTGTATTTTTAGTAGAGACAGGGTTTCACCTTGTGGGCCAGGCTGGTCTCAAACTCCTGGTCTCAAGTGATCCGCCCACCTTGGCCTCCCAAAGTGCTGGGATTACAGGCATGAGTCACTGCACCCGGCCTTCCCTTGTTCTTAGAAGCTTGTTAAGTAACTCATCTTGTACTTGTCTTAACTATCCTAAACTTTCTCATCAGTAAAATAGGAGGATGATAACCAAATAATTGAGGCTTAAATGGCATTAGCGTGTAAAAGCAATTCTACAAAACGTTTTCCATTTTTAAAGAGGAAAAAAAACCCATCCAACTCTCAAACCATGAAACCAAACCTGTTTTCCCTTCCTCAAGATTTAGGATTTGAAAGTATTCTATAAACTGATTATATCACCAGAGAAAGCTGTGAGGTCAAGAGGACCTTAATTTATTTAGCAGTCAAGTAACCACCATGAGACTTTGTTCACGTGGGACTGAATAAGGAACGTATGCTGTAGTAAAATGGAATAAGTATTCTCTTTATTTGTATGTCTTAATAATTCCTTTTTTCCTCAGTAGATGTGGAGTTATTCCCTTGAGAACTCCTGTAATAGTTAATTCAAATTTCAGTAAGCTCTCAATGATTAGTCTTGACCTTCTGAGAGAATATTTATGTTTTCATTTTCAAAAATGGAAGTAAGCTTTTAAGAATGAAATCGTATCTGGTGTGTAAAAAATTGTTTTAAAGTTGATTAGTTTGACAGGATGATCAGGATTTGCAGGGGAAGGTAGGTCTTTTGAATCTTTCTTCCTACTTTGCGATAAGATTCCTGCTCTCTCCTGTGCACCACAAGGCTTTTACTTACATTGACCAAAAGCAGTTGTGAATAAAGTCTCAATCTGTAGTTCAAATGGAAGTCACAGAGACCAGGACACCTTTCATGGATGTTGGCCAAGCTAGGTCAGCGTATGTTGTATATGGTGTAGCTGTCTGAAAAGATTGGAATCACCAAAATTAGTAAAGAAAAAGAGTTCATTTGACTTCAGGAGTTGATAGTGAGGCAGTGAGGTCAAACATGCATGTGTGTTTTGACAATAATAGCCTATCTTAAATGCTCTTTTTCCTGTGAGTTGCTGAGAATATTATTTATTCATTTGCCCCAGCAGCAGTGTGGAGACCTCTCATGTGCTCTTCCTTTGAACTACTTTCAATTCCTGTGTACCAGAATAGCGTTTTTTTCATTCTTGCTGTGATATCTAAGAATCATAGACTGTTCCCTCGTGCTCTATAATGATTTTAACCACGGAGAATATTTTCATGGTATGTAGGCAACACTTTCTTCGCATTGTTCTGGTTCACAGTTTTGGATAACTGTGATTCACAAAGCCAGGCCTCAAATGAATTCTTTTGTAAATAAGGAGTGATAGTTTTTATATTGTGAGCACTCCTAGGTGGAACAGGACCAGCCTGGGGTCTTTTTTCAATTCAGATTCTTGAACCCAAACCACGAGATTATAATTTTCAATGTTTGGATGGAGACAGGAATCTTATGTTCCGAGAAGCTTCTTTTTGGAATGCAGGTGGATTTAGGAGCCTCTGGATACGCCCTTCTGTGTTTCAGACCCTTAGGCTCTGCGTGGAGGTGGGTGGGGGTGGGTTGGGGATCTGCCTGGCGGAAGAGGAGCTCTCGGTGGACCAGACTGGTTCTTTCTGCAGGCTCCTTGACCACTGCTGGTTGTTAACTGAGTAATTCCAGGAAGGGAATATTAAAAACATCAGGTAGTTAGCTAAGGGCGTTGTAATTTCTGTTTTCTGTCTTTATTGCCTGGCATGTTTGTCCACCAGAATGTAAGTGCTTTAAAGCTCAGATTCATTTTCTGGTCATTATTTTCCACAGCTCAAAATACTGCAATCGTTGCATAATTGTTGAGTTACTTTAATGGAAGAGTGAATTACAGGAATGAATCTCCATTCCTGACTCCTTACTTACCTCGAGGTTCCTCCTCCCCTAAGCATTATGCCTCTTGCTGTTCTTTTTACTCTTAGTTCCTCATCTGCTTACATGGTTTCAACTCTAGAATGGAGAATTTCACTGTTTCCCACACAAACTTAATTCTCTTCAGCCTTTTAAGCTGGGCAAGGTTTTGGGGTTCACGTTCTCTAGGAAGTCTGGGGAGGGCCTATTATGAGTCTAGATATGACTTTAAATCCAATTATAACCTCAAATAGAATTTTATGAAAATTTAAACAAGTACATATGAGCATATTTCAGAGGGAGAGAATCAAGAGCTTTCATCTGATTCTCAGAGGGATATAGGACCCAAAGCAAGTATTAAAAACTGCATCGAGACCTTTGAACTAAGACTTATCTGTGGCTGCCCTCCACGGACCACTTTGACATTATTTTTGTTGAACTGTCCTCTGCCACAAATTACAGTAAAACCATATTAAAACCTCACTGATTGGGTTTAGAAGTTGTATGCTATTTCTAGTCTTTAAGTGGCTAATTTTGCAGCTATGCATACATGATGTCTAAAGATAGTCAGTATTTAATGGCACTTCTGACAATGTAAAGATTTTACATTCCTTGAACCCTGGTGCATTCCTGAACTCACATGCTACTGCTTTCTTATTGCCCATGAAAAAATCCCTCATCAAATAGAACATTATTATTTTATACAACCTTTCTTTAGATTCACCTCTGACTTCATAGTTTCTTCAATCAGATCGTCCATCTTCTATCTCAGAACTTCCTTCTGGGATTTTTTTTTTTCTTAAGTGTATCCTTTAGAGATTTCTTTAGTGAGGGACTATGGATGGAAAAGTTTCTAGGTTTTTTTTTTTTAATTATTATTATCTGGACATGTCTTTATTTTGCCATCATTTTTTGAAAGAGAATAGTATTTCAAATAAAACCAGTTAATTGGTTAATTTCTTTCAGCTCCTTCTGAAGATGGTGCTCCATTGTCTTCTGCCTTGCCTTTGCACTATTCTTGAGACTTTTTTTTTTTTTTTTGAGGTGGCGTTTCACTCTTGTCGCCCAGGCTGGAGTGCAGTGGCATGATCTTGGCTTACTGTAGCCTCTGCCTCACTGGTTCAAGTGATTCTCCTGCCTCAGCCTTTCAAGTAGCTGGGATTATGGGCATGCACCACCATGCCTGGCTATTTTTTGTATTTTTAGTAGAGATGGGGTTTCACCATGTTGGTCAGGCTAGTCTCGAACTCCTGACATCAAGTGATCCACCCGCCTCAGCCTCCCAGAGTGCTTGGATTACAGGTGTGAGCCACACTGCACCTGGCCAAGACTGTTGTCAGCATAGGTGCAGTCACTTTATAGGAGATCTGTCTTCTGTCTCTGGTTGTTCTTGAGATCATCTCTTTGACTTTGGTTTCCTCTTGTTTAATACGACAATGTATTTTGTGTGATTTTTTATTAGTTAGGTGGGTATATGTTGTGCTGCTTTTTGGATTTGTGCCTCATCAGCTCGAAAATGGATTTGGCCAGTTTGTCTTCAAATACTCCTTCTCTGTACTCGTCAGGAATTCCAAGTAGACATCTATCAGATCATTTCATTCTCTCTTCTTTGTCTTTTACCTTTTCATTTCCATCTCCTTGTTTGTGTTTTGTTTTCTTTTTATGTGCTGCATTTTAGCTATTTCCTTGGATCTAAACTATAGTTCACTAATGAGCTGTGTTTAATCTGCTGTTTTATTCAACCATTGAGTTTTAATTTTCAATAATTACATTTTTTACTTCGAAATATTCTGGGGAGTTTTTACCTAATCTGCAATTCGTTTTTTAAGTCTTTGGTGTTTGTCCATTTTATGATTTAGTCATTATTTTGGGTTGGGGGCAGTTACTGAGGCAGCTGGGATATTTTCCTTGTTTCCTACAATTGCTATATGGTATCACTGTTAATGAGAGTTATATTTTATTAAAGATCTAGTTAATTTGTAATGAGAGGGCCCTTTGGAGTCATGTTTGCTTTATTGCCAGAATCTGAAGAAACCTTCTTGATTTGGAATTTGTGACATGAGCAGGGATTGAGGCTTTGAACCAACACTTGAGATTTACCTGATGATATTGAAAATGCAAAACAGTAGTTTTCAAGAGGACTGTTTATGAAAATGGATTATAATAGTTATAACGCAATTGCTTCTGAAGCAAAATGTTCAATGTCTTTGTTCGGCATGCCTTGATATATAGTCTTGTACCACATAATGATACTTTGGTCTTACGATGGTGGTCCCGTAAGATTATAATACCACATTTTTACTGTACCTTTTCTATGTTTAGATACACAAGTTGATATGGTTTGGCTGTGTCCTCACCCAGATCTCATTTGGAATTGTAGCTCCCATAATTCCCACGTACCATGGGAGGGACCCTGTGGGAGGTAGTTGAATCGTGGGGTGGATCTTTCCCTTGCTGTTCTCCTGATAGTGAGTCTCATGAGATCTCATGGTTTGATAAAAAGGAGTTCCCCTGCACAAGCTCTCTTGCCTGCCACCATGTAACGTGTGACCTTGCTCCTCATTCACCTTCCTCCATGATTGTGAGGCCCCCCCAGCCATGTGGAACTGAGTTAATTAAACTCGTTTCCTTTATAAATTACCCGGTCTCGGGTATGTCTTTATTAGCAATGTGAGAATGGACTAATACACAAGTCCTCACTATTGTGTTAAAATTGCCTACAGTGTTCAGTACAGTAACATCTGTACAGGTCTGTAGCCTGGAAGCAATAGGCTCTACCATACAGCCTAGGTGTGTAGTAGGCTACAACATTGATGTTTGTGTAAGTTCACTCTGTGAGGTTCGCACAGCAGTGAAATTGCCTAACAACGCATTTCTGAGAACATATCACTGTAGTTAAGCAACGTGTGACCGTATAGTATACTTTCTTTTTTGTGGAGAGGTTAGCTTCAATATATCTAGAGAATGTCTTTTATTTACTTTTTGTCTTATTTCCATTTGTAGTAGGCTCTCTGCTATGTGAAGTTTTCTTTGTTGGTAGCTTCCTAGTGTTTGTTGTTAAAACCCAACAATGTTGACTGCACATCATGAATGTTCTTTGGTTAAAATGTATCCGTTTTTCACTTGTACCCATTTTTCATTAGTAGTTTACTGTTTAGGAATTCAAGGCATCACATAGTTGCACACAGAAGCTTTTCTTATTTTATTAATAGCATGTAACTAATGTGGATATCCCAGCTCTTTAGTGTATCTCAGAACCAGGACAAAAAAAGTCATCTTAGTTTGCAAAAAGATGCACCACCCCATGCACACTGGACAACAGCTCTGGGTCTCTCTTGGAGACTGTTGACATTTCCTTTAGGCATTATGTACTTGGACTTGACTGGCACCTTTAGCATGTTAGAAACAGGTTATTTGGTAAAGGAAAAGGCTCTGCCAGAGGCAGGTGAATTGACGTTAATAAGTTTGTTCATGAAGTTCGCTGAAGAGGGTAGCTGGTGATGGCACTCCAAGTCTTGAGGTGACAGGCTCCGTGGGGCCAGTCCTGCGCCCCTTAGAGCAAGTGAAGGGCATGCTTATGAAAGAAAAGGCATATGTTGCAAAGAGCTATCAAGAAGAGTTTTTAAAAAGTGTTGCTATGTAAGTGTAAGCGAAAAAATTAAGTCTACTTTTATGGTAAACTTAAACATAAATTTTATGGTCATTTCCACCCAAGTTCTCCAGACGGCAGAGGAGTCAGCAGGAATTCTCCTAAGGAGGTGGAGGTGGGAGGGAGGAGGAAATGGCCTTTGCAAGCCTGACCTGTTGTTTGAAATCTCAAGTTACCTTACATGTTTTATGATATTAACCATGTAGTCCATACAATTTTTGGGATTCAATATGAAATATTTTAAACATATTTACCAAGGAGCTCTTCTCCAGAGATCCTTGATTTAGGCTGATGTTTCAGGAAGCTGAGCTGTGGATTAGTGGCCCTGTGTGCCCTTGGTCTCTTGCTGTGTGTGTGTACTCTGGCTTCAGAAGCAGAGACGGACTGTGTTACCTTCCATAATGATGCCGGGTAAAGGAGGCATTAGCTGATCTGGTGAAATGTAAATAAGATTTGAATTAAGTAGTTCAAAAAAAATTTAAAAAGTTTGTTTTAGTAATTGTTTTTAACCAATAAAGATTAAAAATACTTGTTTTCTGTCTGCAGTCATCTTACTGCTAGGGGTTCAAGAGAAGGTGCACTAGTAGTTTTTATCTCGAGTCTCGCTGTTTATTCTCTGTACTTTAAAAAAGTGACTGTGCTGTTGCCTTGAGCTGGTTGTGGGAGCATTTGTAGGGTCCCTGTTGGAATGAGGACCAATCTGCTTCATAACTCCTCTCTGTCTATGGGCTAGACCAAAGTACCCTTGGAGAACTCCATGTCTTCCAGGAAGTTTCCACCCTTTTTCTCCTCCCTCTTTCCTGAGTGTTATTGTCTGCATGTCCAGCTGTGTCCCTCTAACCTGATTTTCAGCCATCTGCCAGGTCCCTCGAGTTGAGGCTTCACTCCTCCTGTCCTGATTCTTGACCCTGGCTTCTGCACTTGCTGGTGGCCCTGCAGAGCTCTGGCCTGGGAAGTAGAAGAATGGCTGCCCACTTGTGTTTGTGTTACCTGGCTTTTCATCTGCACAGTCCAGAGGGAAGTTCTCAACTGTCTTACACCCCAGGCACGTGAGGTAGAGTGTAGCCAACTCTCCCAGCAGGACAGACTTCTGGGATTCTTAGTCCTCTAACTTCTCTCTCATATGCAGATGAGCTTTTGAACTTAAAGCAAGAGGCGAGTGATTATTTTATTAGCACCTTTAGGGATGCAAAGAAGTAGGAGTGTGTGTTTGAGGGAGGTGCTAACTAGACTGATTCGTTGTGCCCTTCCTTCAGAGTGCACCTAGACGAGTCAGAGTCAGAGTTTCCCCAGAATCATTTGGCACGCCATCCTGCGACACCACTGGTTTCTGCTCGTAAATGAGCTTTTTGAAAAAATCTTGATTCGGTTGATAGATACATATCTAAATGTGCATTCCTCAGTCCTTCCTAAGTAGCTCTAGATTGGGGCTGCTTAAAAATGAAGAGGCTGCAGTGACTGTATAGAGTATGTTGAAAAGATCATGGAAATGAGGTCCTGTGGAAGTGCGTGCTCATACCTTGGCAGAAGTTCAGTGCTGAGACCAGACACATTCAGCTTGCCCAGGAACCTAACGAAAGTCAACAGAAAAGAAATCGTGGGTCTGAGCTGGGCAGCTTCATGGCAACGCTGCCCCCTCACCTTTGACAGAAAGGCAGCTGGGAGAGAAGGAGACCAAAGACATGCAGGTGGAGGTGCGGACAGGCTGCTCTGAAATTCAAGTCTTTTTTTTTTTTTTTTTTTTTTTGGGAGACAGAGTCTCGCTCTGTTGCCCAGGCTGGAGGGCAATGGCACGATCTCGGCTCACTGCAACCTCTGCCTCCCAGTTCAAGTAATTCTCCTGCCTCTGCCTCTCCAGTGGCTGGGACTACAGGTGTGCGCCACCACGCCTGGCTAATTTTTGTATTTTTAGTAGAGACAAGGATTCACCATTTTGGCCAGGCTGGTCTCGAACTCCTGACCTCAACTGATCTGCCCACCTTGGCCTTGCAAAGTGCTGGGATTATAGGTGTGAGCCACCGCACCTGGTCGAAATTCGAGTCTTATAGTCATAATTCCACTGAAAGGAAAGGTCAGGGTCCTTCTTTTGGGTCTCCAGTGGCTCACTTCTGTAGCAGGAAAGGGACATGACTTGGGGTTTGGTGAACTGTTTAAAAAGGCTTTTCAGGCTGGGTGTAGTGGCTGGCGCCTGTAATCCCAGAACTTCGGGAGGCCAAGGCAGGAGGATCACTTGAGGCCAGGAGTTCAAGACCAGCCTGGCCAATATGGTAAAACCGCGTTTCTGCTAAACAAAAATTTAGCCAAGTGTGGTGGTGCCTGTAGTCACAAGTACTCGGGAGGCTGAGGCAGGAGAATCACTTGAACCCAGGAGGTGGAGTTAGCAGTGAGCCGAGATCACCTCACTGCACTCCAGCCTGGGTGACAGAGTGAGACTCTGTCAAAAAAAAAAAAAAAAAAAAAAGGCTTTTCAGTAGTGGAGCAGGTCTCTGTGAAGAAAAGTGCTTCCCTTAGAGTTTGAAAAGGAACCCTTGGGGCAAATAAGGACGTCCCTAGGCCCTGAAGGTGGGTCAGGAACTCTCAAAGATTGAAACACCACCCCTCCCCCACCATATTCCTGAGCCCTCACTCTCCTGGGTCACTGGGGTGGGAACTGTAAGGATGGAAATTCCAATCCTTTCTGTGCTTCCCCACCACCATTCGGCAGCAGAAGTGTGTAATTCATATCTAGTGTGACCCGTGTTTCTCCGGAATTTGTGGTCTGCCTGTCGAACAGCCAGCCCCCTTCCCACCCCACCTGTTAGGATCCCCGCAGGCTTTGCTCTGCTGTTCTGGGATGAAGGATGTTGCTGCTTCCTCCATTGTGCCAGGTGGACCAGCCTCTGGCCCTGTCCCTCAAGGTGAAGCTATGTGAGTTAGAGCCCTCCCTGTCTTGTAGCTACATGGCGGGCCAGGTGCTGCTCCTCCTGGCTTTACATTCTGTCCCGGGAATAGCCAAGCCATACTGCTTCATGCAGAAGCTCCTGGTTTTCGTGTTTTTTGTTTGTTTGTTTTTGAGACAGGGTCTTGCTCTGTTGCCCAGGCTGGAGTGCAGGGGCATGATCTCTGCTCACTGCAGCCTCTGTCTCCTGGGCTCAGGTGATCTGCCTACTTCAGCCTGCCGAGTAGCTGGAACCATGGGTGTGCACCACCGTGCCTGGCTAATTTTTGTATTTTTAGTAGATACGGGGTTTCGCCATGTTGGCCAGGCTGGTCTCGAGCTCCTGGGCTCAAGCAATCTGCTCCTTAGCCTCCCAAGGTGCTGAGATTGCAGACGTGACCTGCCGCGCCTGGCTGCTCCTGGGTTTCAGTTGCGCTTCTCTCCCCTAGTGGTGTCTCTGGGCACGGTGGGCCCTCCGCACCACATCTGTCTTGCTGGGCCGGTTTTATTTCTGTTTCCCTGGCCCTGGCAGCCTCCCCGCCCTAGGCATCTCCCCCACTCCCAGTGGGCAGGAACTCCAGTGATTCAAACTTAAATGGCTGCTACCCAGTACAGTCCTTGAGGAGCTCTGCAGTGCTCTGTGAGCTTTTGAGGGGCCATGTGCATCAGAAAGCACCTGCCACTAAAAATTGTTGTAGAATCAGTTATCTGAACTCTGGGTTCAGCGTTGTTCCCAAATGACTTTGCTCTGTTTCCCTAGCTCTCCTGCCTTTGGCCCTATCTGGCTCTTTCCCACCTACTCTGGGTGTTACTCTTCTCACCTGCCCCTGGGTAGGGCCCCCGCAGCACTCCATGGAGTAATGGGGAGTTGAACCATTCAGAGAAGTGTAGTTTCCTGTTCTTAATGAAAGACATCAGGTGAACAATAAAATCCTCCTGTTCCTCTAAAACAAATCGCCTTTCAGACGACAGAAAGCTGCCCTTTATGCCTTTGTGCTCCCCCTTCCCTGTGGGTTATTTGTCCTTGCTGGAGAATGGGTTTTCTCTCCTGCTGTACATCATTGAGGACATCATCCTGTCAGGGTTTTGCTAGGCTGGTGTTGTGTGGATATTGATAATGATAAAAAGCAACAAGCATATAGGAAGATTTGCTGTTCTCCTCAGTTATCTCTTTTGGATATATGCTGTATTAGCAAGAAGCTATTTACTCTTTCAGTAAGTGTTTGTTAAGGGTGGTGGTATTTGAAAGCCTTGAGTTTATAAAGTACTAATGAAACCTTTTAAATACGAAGACAGCTTTTTACTTAACAAATGTATAGTGAGCAGTTAACAATGGGACTTAATACTATGTGTAAGTGACCTTTTGCATGCTGTATAAAAGCTTGTCAGAGTTCAGGAGGTGTTACTGCTGTGGTTTTGGGTTTGCTTGAGAACATTAGATGTTATTTTTCTCCAAGACACATACTAGTGACCTTAACAACAACAAACTCATTTTTCTTGGTATGAGGACTAGAGTTAGGAGAATTTCTGAAGCGCTTTTGGAAAGTAGGCGGACATTTGAGTTCCTCATCTGCCTTTTCCCCTGGTCATCATACATGGGATCATTAAGCAGAACACAGAGCAGACTTGACTAAAGCAATGACATTTTGTAATGTAGCTTATGGAAGTAGAATAGGAAGGCTCAGCTAATTACCTGTAATTTCAAAGGCAGCCAGTAGGTTTCCTGTGTACAGCACCTTGGAAATCTTTTGTATGGACCCAAAAATGAGTGACTAATTACAGAATAGAAAATGAATAAGCTTTGTACGAGGTTAAGCAAATTTGCAGGAAGAATGTATTTAATGCATCATCATGGAAAGCAATTTTTGACTGTCATCAACGATTTCAAGTTAAGCAAGTATCTGTAATGAAGCACAAAAGATTGATAAAAACAGAGAAAATATCAGAGATTGGATTTGTCCAAGTAGGCTAACTGAAAATTTGGTCCAACAAACATCAGCAAGTGCTCACTTTGGAAGAGAATTTGAGTTTTTAAAAAATTAGACCCCAAAGGTAGGTACAAACTGATGATTTAATATCTGTTATTAGTGTTTCTTAGAGAAACAGAACGAAGTGTAACGTCTTTGGAGAATACATTAAGGGAGGAAGCTTTCCAAAACCCAACATGAAGACTCATATACAGTGGCCAGCATTGACATTCCTAAGAATCAAGAAAGCATCATATGATCTTTGTCATCAATACCACTGTTCACTGTATAACCGATTCCATAGGCTCAGAGAGATGTGGAAATCAGGATGTTTTGAGAATCAGTGAGGTGGAGGGAACAGGGCTGGGCCCTAGTGATGAAATTTTTAACGAAGACCTTTCATTTTGTGTGTGAGAAACCACTTTTGATTTACAATGTATCATCAACCTCACTCTCTAGACTTCTAGTACTGAAGTACTTTAGTTCACGTCAAAATCTGTTTCTCAATTAGGGAGTGAAGATTTGGCACCATAGAGCATATTCAAAAAACTGTGTTGGAGGGCAGTCCTAAAAGAGAAAAAGTTCTGAGGATATTCTGTGTTGTCAACAGCTTCTTTGAACTGAGAGTTTGGCCTCTGACGTCTTGGCTTGAACTAGCTGACATCCACTTGGCAGACAGGCCCTCTGAATTTCTAGCATTTACATGGTCTCATTACCTTAGTGTGGGACGTATATAATTTAAGGGCCCTGTGCGTGTTTACTGAGCAAAGAAACATCAAAGAAAGAAAAAAAAAAAGTCCCATGCCCTACCACCCTGGTCTAACTACTACGAACCACAGAAGACCATTCTGGACAGAAGAGTAGATGTATACAGTTAACAGTTATTTCATAAACACAGAATCGTATGCATGGTATTTAGTAGAAGATAAATATAAGTTAATAGGAAGGAATTGTAGAATTTTTTTTTTTTTTTTTGAGACGGAGTCTTGCTCTGTTGCCCAGGCTGGAGTGCAGTGGCGCGATCTCAGCTCACTGCAAGCTCCACCTCCTGGGTTCACGCCATTCTCCTGCCTCAGCCTCCCGAGTAGCTGGGACTACAGGCGCCTACCACCACGCCCGGCTAATTTTTTTT
Organism: Homo sapiens; assembly: GCF_000001405.40. Taxonomy (NCBI): domain Eukaryota; kingdom Metazoa; phylum Chordata; class Mammalia; order Primates; family Hominidae; genus Homo; species Homo sapiens. Next base: position 4,792,058 of record NC_000006.12, read on the forward strand.
TTTTTTTTGTATTTTTAGTACAGACGGGGTTTCACCATGTTAGCCAGGATGGTCTCGATCTCCTGACCTCGTGATCCACCCGCCTCGGCCTCCCAAGGTGCTGGGATTACAGATGTGAGCCACTGCATCTGGCCAGGAATTGTAGAATTTTATATGAAAACATTTTACATCATTGGATCACTTTTATTTTGCCTTTTCCTTGTTGATTTGTTGGAGATCTTGGTATATAATAGATTCTAATCTTTGCTACTATATACGTTGGAAATATCTTCTGATATATGGCTTTGTCCTTTTTAAAATCAATAATACATTTATGTTTCACTTGCCAAATTAAATCTGACATTTTAATGTAGTCAAATTTTTATTTAAAAAAAAATTTTTTTTTTTTTTTTGAGACAGAGTCTCACTCTGTTGCCCAGGCTGGAGTGCAGTGGCATGATCTCCGCTCACGGTAACCTCCACCTCCCTGTTAAAGTGATTCTTCTGCCTCAGCCTCCTGAGTAAAGTAGCTGGGACTACAGGCACACACTACCATGGCCGACTAATTTTTGTATTTTTAGTAGAGACAGGGTTTCACCATGTTGGCCAGGCTGGTCTGGAATTCCTATCCTCAAGTGATCTGCCCACCTTGGCCTCCCAAAGTGCTGGGATTACAGGCATGAGCCACCGCGCCTGGCTTCTCTCATTTCGTTTTTTGTTTAAGAAATCCTTCCTACCCCAAGATCATTGTCTGCTGTGTTTTCATCTAAATATTTTGCTTTCTACAGTATGAACTTTCACTTACCTATAGTTTGTTTTTACAGTGTAGCCTGAGCTTGGGGTTCAACTTATTTTTAAAATGTGGATAATCCATAGGCACTGTTTAGTAAATAGACCATCTCTCCCCATTATTTGCCACCTCTGTCATAGATGTTTCCATCCATGTGTAGGGCAGTTTCTTCTGTTCAATTGGTATTTGTCTTTCCTGATTCATACCATGCTGGCTTGACTAGCATGGCTTTATGTAAGTCTTGGAAACTCGTCCTTCCAGGTATCTTCATTGTGTTCTTTTTTTCTGGCAAATTTCTCTCCTCATGGTGGTGTGCTCTTCCATCTACACCCTGGAATCATCATGTTGATTACGTGAGAAACCCTGTTGAACTGGGGTTGGTACTGCATCGCGTTCATGGATTAATCTGTGGCACTGGAGATATAGCAGCGGGCATGACCGCTCAGCCACTGCCCGCCCACCTTCAAGGAGCTTTTATTCTAGTGGTGGCAACAGTCTAGTGAGAATCGGAGTGCTAGTGGCTGGTGGGGGTGGTGTTATTTTTAGGTGAAGCAATCAGGGAGAGCTTCATTGATAGGGTAACATTTGGGACTGGGGTTGGAGTGAGGCCGGCAGGAGGCCAGTGTCTCTGGAAACCAAGGGAGAGAATGGCGGATGAGGTTGGGGGTACTTGTAGGACTTCATAAATGTGCTAAGAAGTACTTTGAGTTTTATTTGTAGTAAGATGGGAAGCCATGAAGGAATGATGTAATAAAATTAAATTATTTTAAAGTTTATGCCAGATGCTATCTGGGCAACTGGAGGGAGACTTAGAAGGAAGCCGGGAGACCAACTAGGAGGCTGGCAGGATAATCCAGGCAAAGGATGATGGTGGTTTGAAACCCAGGTGGTGACATTGGGAGGTAGTAAGGAGTGATTGCATTTCGGGGATATTTTGAAGGTATTGCTGAGCAGGATTTACCCATGGATGGATATCGGATATGAGGGAATGAGAAGGAATAGAAGGGACCTGGAGTTTTTGGGGTTGAGTAACTAGAGTGGACTTGCCATTTACTGAGATGGGGGTTCATGTGTAGGGTGCAGCTTTGACTTTATTGCCCTGGAGGGCTGGTGGGTATTTAGGAGTTGGATTTTAGATGTGTCGAGTTTGAGATCCCTTTTAGACATCTAGTGGGAGCGGCTGGGCAGCTGTGAACTACACAGGATTATAGTTCAGGGCAGGAGAGAATTTTAGGAGTTATCCATGTAGTACACTTGGTTCTTAGAGCCATGAGTGCATTTAATCATCCAGGAGGTAAGCATAAGTAGAGAAGAGATGTGAAGACTGAATCCTGGGGGCACTGTAGCCGTCATCACATAGAGCTTGCGGGGAGATAAGAGACACAGTAAAGAAGACTGAGAAGAGACGTGGCCAGAGGAGGAGGAGAACCGAGAGATAGTGGTGCACTGGAAGAAAACCTCAAGGAGGGAACGAGCCCCACTGTGTTTGGTGCTGCTGAGGACTGAGAATTGACTGTTAGATTTGGCAGCGCGGAGGCCACTTGGCAGCAGCTCTTTCAGTGGAGTATGGAGACTGGAGTCTGGCATGGGCTCATGAGAGAATGGGAAGAGAGGATTTAGAGGTGGTGATTATGGGCGACTCCTCGGAAGGGTTTCATGGAAAGAGAACTGGGAGTGCCGGGCAGGCTCCGGGGTTTGTTTGCTTAAAGACAGAGGAATGATGGTAGTTGTGTGATGATGGGAAAGAGCTCGGGAAGGGGAGGGCCAGGAGAGAGAGAGTGCAGGGACAGTGGCTGGAATGATTTCCTGAGATGGCCAGAAGGGATTGCATCGAAGAGCATGGGGTGCATGTCCCTTACTCGTATCTCGTCTCTCTCAGTAATGTTTTGTTATGAACCTTTTGAAAGTTTTGCATAACCTTTCTTGATTGATTCCTAGAAACTAGAGTTTTTGTTGTTGTTGTTGTTGGTCTCGTTGATGGAAAAGCAGTTGGTTAATGCCAGTACATAGAAAGGCTGTTTATGTATATCTGATCTTATATCTAGCAGACTTGTTAAACTGTCTTTGTATTTGAAAAACTGTAATTTCTTTTAGATTTATATGTAGACAATTATATCTTGTGCAAATAGGGATAGTTTTTTTTTTCTTTTCGAACTCCTGCAGTACCTGTTATTTCTTGTACTGAATTGGCTAGGACCGTCAAGTACAACGTTGAATGTAAGTTGTAACAACAAGCATTTTTGTTTTATTTCTAATTCCAAAAGAGTGGATCTGTAAAATTTTACTATTAAATAAAAGCTGTGAATATTTGTTAGATGCTCTTTTTTAAAAAAAAAAATCTGGTTAAAGTTTTATTACTAGCTTGTGAAGAGTTTTAAATCTTGGTTATTGAATATGTTTCTGCATTTATTGCAGATTGTTGTTTTACCCTTATTTTTATTTTCTGATGTTGAGCCATCCTTACATTTCTGGGATAAATGTGACTCTGCTTAGTCACATGTATTATTTTGTGTATATTGCTACAGTTTTTTTCCTAATCATTGTTATAATTAGTCACATGAAAGAGAAAGACACAACTGAATATTTTTTTCTCTTCTCAGTTTTTAGAATTTTTGGAAATTCTGTTTTTTTCTGGTTTTGGCTTTACTTGCCTAAAAAATCATCTGAGCCTCTCTGCTGCCTTTTAGGATGGAAGGTGAACTATTTATTTTCCATCGAGAATTTGATCTTATTGATTTATGAGTACTATTTCTTGAATCAATTATGGTTTAATGTCTTTTATATTAGAAGATTCTTAGGATACTTAAACATCTATACTGGCTCTGTGATTCAGCATGCCTCATTCTTTTTGTACCTTTTCTCTTAGAGGTATTTCTTTTCTCTTTTTTTTTTTAAAGAATCAGTTTTTGTCTCGGTTCTTTCTGTTGCATCCTTGTCTTTCATTATTTCTGGTTCTTTATTTCCTTCTGCCTTTAGGTTATTTGGTTCTTTTTATAGCTCATTGAGTTGAACATTGAGCTCGTATTGTTCTTTCATGAACATTATCCTCTAAATGCAGCTTTTGCTGCATCCTGTAAGTTTAATTTCATTTTTTTCACTTTCAGATTTTTTTTCTGTTTATTTAAAATACATTCACTTTTTTTCCTGAGACAGAGTCTTGCTCTGTTGCCCAGGTTAGAGTGCGGTGCAGTGGTGTGATCTAGGCTCACTGCAACCTCTGCCTCCCAGGTTCAAGTGATTCTCCTGCCTCAGCCTTCTGTGTAGCTGGGACTACAGGCACGCACCACCATGTAACAGGGTTTCACCATGTTGGCCAGGCTGGTCTCGAACTCGTGACCTCATGTGATCCGCCTGCCTCGGCCTCACAAAGTGCTGGCATTACAGGTGTGAGCCACTGCGCCTGGCCCACTTATTTTTTGAGTAGGATATTTATTCATAGGTCTAAAAGGCCAAAAAGTATAAAAAATGAAAACCAAAAAATGATTTTAGTTTGATGTGAGAACATTTACATTTCTAAGGTGAAAAGTTTTTTTCTTGTGATTTTATAAAATATTTTATATTGGGATTAGATTTAAATATTTGTTCAGGGTTCATATATGTACATATATGTCAAATGTATTTTCTTTATGAAGTATTTACTATACCCTTCATTGTTTTCTGGCCCGATCTTTTAATTAACTGGCACAAATGAGTTGGTTTCCTAAGATTATAGGTTTGCCAATAAATATTTTGTATATTTTGAGCCTAGGCTTTAGATGTATACAAATTCATGATCGTTTATTGTATTAAGGTGTAGTGCCCATCACTTAATGAATTTTTCCCTTAAAATGTGTTTATGTTGCTGTAATAACTAGTTTTGGATAGTATTTACTAGTTGAATCTTTTTCCTTCCCTTTTTATTTAAAAAAGTTTGGTTTTGTTTGGAACTCTGTCTTGAGAGCACCATATAACTAGATTTTAACACTTCAGTAGTATCTTTTATCAGTTTAATGTGTTTAATTTTGTTATTACTATAATGTTTGGAATTCTTAGTGTTTGCTGTTTATCATTCTTCTTGGCTTACTTTTAGTGTTAGCACCTTGTTGGTATGAGAGATTTTTCTACATGGATTTGCTATTACTTTGCTGTGTTGAACTATACAGATTCTGTGTCTGACCTTGTGGTTGCCATTAGTTTCTTTGAATTCTGCTTATCTGTTATTTTGATTAAATTATTCAATAATTTCTCCTGGAATGTGACAAGGATATTGGCATTCTTCACCTTTTGAATGTATTCTCTCTCCTATTTGACATGTATCTAGAATTTTTAATTCTTTTCAGTGTACCAAAAATGAAATATGTATATTACTTTAATTTATATCCATCTTTCTTGAAGACACAATAAGGAAATTCACTGATTAACTCTTCATTCTAATCTGTAATCTTACCCTCCACTAGATTAATTTTAACTTTAGAAAACACATCAATAATACTTCTAAAAATCACAGGTTACTTAAATTTCCCGACATTTCATTTGAGAACTTACTGTTTTCTTTATTCCTTCTCTTCTACGTGGGCTGTTTTTTCTTCCTGAATTACATCTTTTTCTTTTCTTTTCATTTCTTTTTTTTTTTTTGAGATATAGTTCACATACCGTAGAATTTCTCCTTTTAAAGTATGTAGTTCACTGGTTTTTAGTGTATTCACAAAGTTGTACAGCCGCCGCCACCACTATCTAATACCAGAACATTTTTATCCTTTTGGAAAGAAACTCCATGCCCATTAGCTGTCAATTCCCATCTTACTCTAGACCCCTGGCAACCATGAATCCACTTTTTGTGTCTGTGAGTTTGTTTATCCTGTACATGTCATATAAATGGAAACATACATTTTGTGTCTGACTTCTTTCACTTAGCAGAATGTTTCCAAGGTTTGTGTTGCAGAATGTATCGGTGACTCATTCCTTTTTGTAGCTGATTAATACCCCATTTTGTGGATACACTGTGACTTGTTTATCCATTCGTCACTTGGTGGGACATTTGAGTTGTTTCTACTTTTTGTCTATTATGAATATGAGCATTCATGTAGAAGTTTTAGTATGAACATGTATTTTCTGTGTTGTTGTTGTTGTTTGAGTATGATACCCAGGAGTGAACATCTTTTTTTTTCTTTTCTTCCTTTTTTTGGAGACAGGATTTTATTCTGTTGCCCAGGCTGGAATGCAGTGGCGCAGTCACAGCTCACTGCAGCCTTGATTTCCTGGACTCAGATGATCCTCTCACCTCAGCCTCCTAGGTAGCTAGGACTGTAAGTGTGTGCCACTACACCTGGCTAATTTTTGTAATTTTTGTAGAGATGGAGTTTCACCGTGTTTCCCTGGCTGGTCTTGAACTCCTGGGCTCCAGCAATCTGCCCACCTTGACCTCCCAAAGTGCTAGGATTACATGCATGAGCCACCATGCCTTGCCAGACATCTTTTAATAATTATTTTAGTGAGGATTTGGGGATAAGTTCTTGGTATTCATTTGTCTAAAGATAATTGCACTATTGTCACTAGTAATGACATTTTAGCTGGAGATAAGTTTATTGGTTTACCGTTTTTATCAGTCTTAGAGCTGATGAAAAGTCTCCTGTCCTCCTTTTCTAAGTTATCTGAGTTTCTGATAGTTTAAGATTTCTTACCTTTGATAGTTCTGTAGTTTTATTACAGTGGGTCTAAGAGTAGATATGGTATACTTTTGGTCTCAGTATGAATTGATCTGAAGATGTTAACATATCTTTTAATAAATGTCAGTGCCTTGAGGAATTGTGTCTATCTTCATAAGGTATGTCAGTCTATAATTTTCTTATTTCACATCACAGTTAATGCTGGCCTCATAAGAGGAGTTAGGAAGCACTTTCTCTGTTTCTCAAATTGAATGTATTGTACTGGTTTGGATTCTTTCATGAATATGTACTAAAATTTATCAGTGAAGCTATTGGGGACTAAGATTTTCTTTGTGATAAGTTTTTAGATTATGAATTCACAGCCTTTAATTAAACATAAGCTAGACTTAACATTTCTCCTTGGGTCAGTTTTTGTGAAAGTTGTATCTTTAAAGGAATTTACCTCATCTAAAATGTTGCGTTCATTAGCAGATACTTGCTTCTGCTCTTTATTATTATTACCTTTACTTTCAGTTTAATTTGCTTTTTCTGTTTTGGTTTCTTAAGGTGGAAGTTTAGGCCATTGCTGTATTGTCTTACATGAGCATATAGTGCTGTACATTTACTTGCAGCTCTGCTTCAGTCTATCAAAATTTGATATGCTTTCATTAGAATCCAGTTCAAAATATTTTCTGGGTTGATTTGTGATTTCTTCTTTGACCCCTGGGTTTAGAATTAGGTTAAATTGTGGATATTTGAGGTTTTTCTAAATGTTTTATTGTTGATTTTGAATTCCATTGTAGTCAAAGCACATTTCCTATAAGATTTCAGTTTTTTGGAATCTATTCAGAATTGTTTTATGGCCCAGTATATGGTCTGTCTTGGTGAATGTTCTGTGTGTATTTGAAAAGATTATATAATTCTCTGGTTGTTGATGGAGCTTTTCATAAATACCAGCTAAACTACAGTTGGTATGGTCACATAGGTCTCCCATTTTTTTTTTATTTTTTTATTTTTTAGGCAAGGTCTCACTCACCCAGGTTGGAGTGCAGTGGCGTGATCATGGCTCAGCATAGCTTCCACTTCTCAGGCTCAGATGATCCTCTCACCTCAGCCTCCCAAGTAGCTGGGACTATAGGTGTGTGCCACCACACCCAGCTAGTTTTTGTAGAGATGGGGTTTCATGATATGCCCAGGCTGATCTTGAACTCCTGAGCTAGGCGATCTGCCTGCCTTGCTCGGCTCCCAAAGTGCTGAGATTACAGAGCATGAGCCATTGCGCCCAGCCAAGATCTCTCATCTCTTTGTTTTATTGTTTTTTGGTCCAATTTTATCAATTACTGAGAAATATGTTAGAATTTCCAAATACGATTGTGCATTGGTTGTTTCTGTTTCTGTTTCACGTATTTTGAAGCTGTCATTAGATGGATGTATATTTATAATATTGTTATATTTTCCTTTTAAAATCACTATGAAACGTCTTTTTTGTTTCTAGTAATACTTTTCGAAGTCTACTTTGTTTTACATTAATGTATCCATTCTAGCTTTGGTATATCTTTTTCCAGTCTGTTACTTTTAGTTTGTTTCTGTCTTTATATTTAAAATTGTTCTTTAGAAACCAGAATATAGTCAGTTCTTGCCTTTTTAAAATAATCGGATAGTCCATGCTTTTTAATTGAAATTAATCCATTTACATTTAAAGTAATTATTAATATGGTTATATTAGGTCTATCATTTTTTGCTTTTCTTAGGGAAGGGATTTTATTTGCTTTTGTTCCTCCTCTTTTGCTGATTTTGTGTTAACCAAAATTTCTTATTAATTTTAATTCTTCTGTTGGTTTTCTAGCTATATGCATCTTAGCTTTTTCTTTAATATTGAATCACTTTGGATAAGACATATAATTTTTTCAATGATGTGTTTCCAGTTCCACTACTTATCCTTAGTATTATTGTCACAGTTGTTGCATTTATATACTTTGTAAACCCATCAGTAGTGTTGTATTTTTTGCTTTATGCTGTCATCTTTTATAGAAAACTAAGATATTACATATATCCACATAATTACCATTTCTGGCTGTCTTCATTTCTTCCTGTAGCTCTAAGTTGCCATCTAGTGTAGTTTCCATTTGGACTAGAGATCTTTCTTTAGCATTTCTTGTTATAGATCTACCAATGACAAATAGTTTATTTGAAAATGCCCTTATTTTACCTTCATTTTTAAAGGAAACTTCTTCTGAATACTAGAATTCTTGGTTGACTGGTTTTCTTCCTTTTCCTTCTTCAGTAATTTGAATATGTGGTCCCAGTGTCTTCAGACTTAAAAGTTTCTAAGGAGAAGTCTTTGTTCTTATCGTTATTGTTGCCGTTGTTTTCCTGTTTATGACGTCATTTTCTCTGGCTGCTTTCAAGATTTTGTTTATCCTTGGCTTTCTACCATTTGACTAAGGTGTGTCTAGAAGAAGTTTTGTTTGTGTTATTCTGTTTGAGGTTTATTGAGCTTTTGGGAGATATTTCAGTTGTTGTGTCTTCAGATGTCTTTTCCTCCTTTCCTCTCTCTAGAGTCCAATTAAGGTACTGCTTCCTGTTGTCACATTTTTGGGAATTCTACTTATTTTTCATTCATCTCTTTCTCTTTATGTTCTTCAGATTATTCTGTATTCAGGTTCATTGCAGATGGCAGAACCAAGCATCAATCCGTTGCTTAGCCAGTCTAATGCATTTATTTTAGTAAATGTTTTGTTCAGATCTAGGCTTTTAGTTTTTCTGGTTTCATTTTTCTCCCTTGAGATTGCCATATCTGTTCACTTATTGATACCATATTTTCCTTCAATTCTTTGGGCATGTTTTTCAGACGTTTTTGAAATATTTATGATAAATGTTTGAAGTCTGTTAAATCCAACATTTCGGCTCACTTGGAATCAGTTTCTGTTGACTATCATTTTACCTGCAGAGGGTCAAGATTTCCTATTTTTTTCTTGTCTAGTGGAAAGTTGGACATATGCTGTAGTGAGTCTGAACTCTTGTGTTCTTCTGAGGATTATTGTGTTTTTATTGTAGCAGACTGTTAATAAACTGCTTGGTCAAACTACACACTTTGTTTTTCCTGTGATATGCAGCCGCTTGTAGCTCTCCTCTGCTCTTAGGTCTTTGCACTGGTGGTGGTTTTAGTGTGGCACCCTGTGAGTCTCCCCTGTGTCTGCAAAATTTGAAAGTTGGCTAAGGATCTGAGTAGAGATGGACTTTTCTCTGTGGTTGTCTTTATTCTGGGGATTCCCCTAGTTTCTAGCACTCCACCAGCTTTGAGCTCTGTACTCTGACATTTCAAGCTTTATGCCGCCCTAGCTTGAGCATAGTTGGGAAAGAGCATCATATTCACAGATTTGGCTCCATGTTACTCTTTTTTAAAAATATTGCTTTCTGGTTTCTGACTGCTTTTTCACCGTGCTGCTTGTGGTTTCCTCAGCACATATGTAGTATGTAGTTCAGCTGTCAGCTAGGGATTTCAGCATCTTATGCTCTGAATTTGAGTGTCACCTCTATATTCTAGTGCTGTCAGAGTGCTTTAAATTTCTAGCTGCTTCCCCAATTCCAGATTTTGATATCTGGCACCTTTAGTTGGTGAGGAACTGGCTTTTGTTTGCCCCCATGTTTTGCAGCAATAGCTGTGGGAGTTGAGCAGTGCCTTGAGCCAAGATGCCACAAACTCACAATTCTTAACCCTTCTAGTTACAGTTTTTGAGATTTAACTCTCTTCCTGGCTTTTGCAAATACTACCTTTAGATCATTGAAAAAAAAATCACTAATTAGCTTGGCATGGTGGTACACACCTGTAATTCCAGCACTTTGAGAGGATGAGGCATGAGTCTCACCTGAGGCCAGGAGTTTGAGACAAGCCTGGGCAACATAGTGAGACCCCGTCTTTACTAAAAATAAAAAAAACTTAGCTGAGTGTGATGGCAGTGTGTGTAGTCCCAGCTACTTGGGAGGTTGAGGTGGAAGGATCACCTGATCCCAGGAGGTTGAGGCTGCAATGAGCTATGATTGCACCACTGTATTCCAGCCTGGGTGACAGAGTGAGACCCTACCTCAAAAAAACAAAAAACAGTTATTATAAATGTTATCTGTGAGTGTTTGTGTGACCTCTTCACCCTTCCTGCCATTACAGAAAGTTGATATTTTTAGTTTTGAAATACTAGGGTGAGTATAGCTTGTCTGTTTCATGAGCGTGTCTTTCTGTTGTGCTTTCATTGCTTTTAGGGTCATTATTCAGTTTATTTTGTTCTTTTTTTTTCCCTTGAGATAAGTTTGTATGAGAGTCAGCCACCATCCTTTTTCTGTTCTTCTTTTTATTTGAAATTAGGTTGTGTGCACTTGTGCAGGGAGGGTGGGCGGGAGAGGTTTTCAGAGGCCACAGGATTCTCTTTTCCGGCATCTCACTAAGTACTTGACAGTGTGGCCTGGTACCTTTTGAGCTCAAGGGCTGTCCTCCCATTCCTCTCCTTCCCCATCCATCTGGGCTAGACCTTCTCTTTCCATTGCGTCCCCCACCCCACACTATCCCTTTCCTGCTCCATTGCTGTTCTGTTCCCAGCAGTTTTTCTTAGTAGAAGGAGGCTTTGGCTGGCTAGTTTCAAGAGCCCTTCAGCCTTAGACTGCTGCAGTCCCTTCGGACCTGGCTGTGATCACTTGCATCCACCTATAGATGGAAGTGTGCAAAGACCCTTCTAGTTTTGGCTGCTATTCTCAGCTGGCTCCCTGAGTTTTCCTGTGAGGTGCCTGTTGACAGTGTCAGGGTTCTTCTGCTCCCATCCATCAGACACCCTGTTGCTATCCTCTGCTTCCTCTGCACAGATCCTCATCCACCTGGTCCTGCAGCTTTTGCCCATTTATCATCCCTTTCCAGTCACTTAGTTTTCTCTTGGCTATTATCTCAAGATTTGAGGGATTGGGCAATTTTTGCACCTCCTCTGCTGTCCCCATTCTCCTCCATCTGCCTTGAAGTGAAGCAGATTTTATCCTGCTCTGAAGCCTGGGGCATGGATGAGAATTCTTTCAGGATTCTCTCACCAACTTTCTCCAGTAACAGGATTGACAGACGATAGACAGGTGTGGGCTCTGTTCCCTGGTTGCCCTTTCACTTGAGAGTGTAGCCCCTGACCTTGCCTGTCTGCGTGGGCTCTAATCTGACCTTACAGCCCCGTCACTGTGGCTCTGTGTCCCTGTCCAGCATCAGCACGTGGCCTCGGGATATCTCCTGGCTTCAGACTTGGCTCACTTTCCTGATTTTTTTTTTTTTTTTTTTTAGTTTTCATCTTTATTTTCCTGATGACTTCTCTTCATTCTAGCTTGTAAATGATGTATTTTTAAAAGTAGTTAAAAGATATTTTATCCAACTCTATGTGTGTATGTGTGTTTTTTGTACTAGGAGGAATTTTGGGGGTACCTTTGTCCTTATATTGGTGGTGTAAATTATATTTTTTAAAACTTTTCTTTTTAAAAATAGCTTATGTGTCTCATGGCGTAGCGTGCTTTTTTTTTTTTTTGCTCTCCTAAGTCTTTTTGATTTTTAAAATACTTTGTTTGCCGTGCATGTTTTAAGAGTTTGCTCTCTTTAGGAAACCAGTCAAGGTCCATAATTTTATGAAACTTGGGCTGTCAGTTATTTACAGACTAACCAGTGTGGACAGAAGTAAGAGGAAAAGTGTAACACTTGTGTTATGAGGTCTGGGAGAGCTGAGGCCACTCCCCCTGTTTTACAGGAGGAAGGTCCTAAGCAGTGGCCTCGCCCAGTCAGCCAACCTCCAGTTTCACCCACGAGAATGGTGGGCCTGAGACCAAGAGAAGGCCATTATTCAGTCATGTTGAAGTGCGGGGCGCTGCCTAAGAACCTAGCTCCTAGGCTCCCCACATCACTGCAGGGCAGGCATTAGTCACCACTTTTAGAGCTGAAGAGAATGAGTCTTTGGTTAAGTGTTGAAATAGAAGTACAGTTCAGATCTCAAAATAAAGACCTTTGTCTTACGACCGCATCTCCAGGCCAGTGGCCTGGGAGCCAGAGAGAGCTTGTTCTCTGATGCCCAGGGCCCTGCTCTTCCTCCCCATCAGTAGGAAACGATGGCCTTGGAGGCTTATTTTGCTCATCACTCTCGCCCCACTGCTGTAAATAACAGAATGGCCCTCGCTCTGCGGTTTCTAGACCCTGGCACTGTTTTTCAAACTTGACTGTCATAGAGACCGCTGCTAAAAGGAACTGTCTGCACGTCCGTCTGGGTCCATTCTCCTACTCATGACCAGTGGTGGAAATTTTAGGTTGTTTGAAAAAATGTCTTTTAATGGCAAATTAACATTCAAGAAGAGTAATTAGACTTAATAACTGGAAGGCTTTTTTAGTCCATCACTTAAAACACAAACGTGGAAAATGTCACAGAACTCTTGGCCCATGTAGCGCATGCATCTGTCCCATTTCTATACTTTTATCTGAGTGTTCCAGGTTACACTTGTTTTAAATAAGAGAAGAAAGAGGGAGAAATTGTTCATAGTAGCTGCATGGTTAACGGTGTTAGCTAGTTTGAATCAGATTTCTAAATCAGACCAAAAAAACCCCAAAAAACAAAAACCCAGAAAACAGACTAGATGGTGCTTTTGAATAGGAATAATATATAAACCATTGATCTCAAAACACTAAAAACTAGTATATGCTCATCAGTCAGTGAATTAGCTTTTTACTCTAAACTTAAGAGTAAGTTTTGCTTTACTTTTAGAAACTTTTAGAACCAAACATGGGAACTCATGTAATCTAAGTAACTTAGTAGTGAAACTCTATTCTGCTCCCCATTGGGGGAAAAAAAAGCATATGCTTGGTAGAAAGAATGTTAGAACTTGAAAGTAGAAAGAAATGTTAGAACTCGAATCAGGCAAGGTACCATCAGGGCTCAGAGCCACACTGGTAATTCGAATGGCGGAAATTTCATAGAATTGTTGGAGAGGTGTTTAGGATCCTCCAGAGAAACGAACCCATAGGTTAGAGAGAGATATATAGAACCAGATTTATTATAGGGATTTGTTTATGCAATGATGGAGGCCTAGAAGTCCCATGATCTGCTTTCTGCAAGCTGGAGGCCCCGGAAAGTGGTGGTGGAGTTCCAGCCCAAACCCGAAGTCCTGAGAGCCAGGGGAGCCAGTGGCGTAAAGTCCCAGTGGGAGACTGAAGGCCCGGGAACCAGGGGCAGTGACGTGTGAGGGCAAGAGAAATGGATCCTGGCTCATGAAGAGGGAAAGGGGATTTGCCCTTCCTCTGTCTACCTCTTTGTTCTCTCCAGGCTCTAAGTGGATTGGATGATGCCTAAGAGGCTTAAGAGGGCGGCTCTTCTTTCCTTAGTTCACTGATTCAAATGCCAGTGTCTTCCAGAAACACCCCCACAGACAAACCCAGAAATAATGTTTTACTAGCTACCCATCTGGGCATCCCTTCAGCAGTCAAGTGGACATGTAAAACTCACCAGAGGGGCTGAAAGGAGATGTGTACAGAGGGGCAGCTGCAGCAAGCCGCTGGCGCAGGAGCATGAGGAAGGAGCTGAGAGCAGCGCAGCCTGCCTGCTGCTGAGATTCGACCGCAGGGAGCGGGTGTACATGCCGCAGGGACGCAAGACCTGCCAGTGCTGGACAGAGTGGCCATCCACAAAGTCCTCTGAGGTCAGCAGGAGGGGCCCTGCATGCCGACCCACCGGCTGTGCCACCTGGAAAACCACATGCTGGAGAAGAAAAGGAATGCTTGCAGTCCCTCCAGCACCCTCTGTTGGCAAAGCCTGGCATCAAGCGTCACCCAGGATTTCAGAGCAGGGCAGGGCGAGGTCTGCATCTGAGAAGCAGCACCTTCACACCTCCTCCACGCTGCTCCCAGAGCCATCTTTCCAAAATGTGAAATTCATTCTGGCATCCCCCTACCAGAGGATCTTCATGGCTGTCAAACAGAAAGTGTTTCAACTTTTTATTTTGCAGTAGTTTTAGAGTTTCGCAGCAAAGTTGTAAAAATGATACAGCATTCTCAAATACCACTCCTCCAACTTCCTGAGTGTTAACATCTTCTGTAACATTGTAGCACAGTTACCAAAACCGGGAAAGTCTTTGGGAGGAGCTATGCAGGCTGTATTCACACTGCACGTTTTCCCATGAATGCCTTTCTTCTGTTCCAGGACCCAGCATTGCATTCAGATCCTGTCTCTTTAGGCTCCTTCCTTCTGCGACGGTTCCTCAGTCTTTCCTTCGATGATCTGGACACTTTCAAAGAGTGCCTTTAAGTTCTTTTGTAAAATGTTCCTAAATTCTGGTTTTCTGTCAGGTTAGTACATTTTTGGCCAGAATTCCATAGACACAACACTGTGTCCTTCTGTGTTAGTCTCCTTGGGCAGCCGTAATAAAATACACAAACCAAGTGGCTCAGGCAACAGACATTTGTTTCCTCACTGTTTCTGAGGGTGCATTCCAAGGTCAAGGTGCGGGCAGGATGGGATTCTCCCGAGGGCTTCCTTCCCTCAGAGGCTTGTGGATGACATCTCTCTGCCGTGTCCTCACACGCTCTTTCCTCTGTGCGTGCGTGCACCGGTGTCTGTGTGTGTCCAAATTTCTTCGTATGAGGACACCAGTCATGTTAGATTAGGGCTCACCCTCTAGATCTCATGTTAACTCAGTCACCCCACTAAAGGCTCTTGTCTTCAAATGTGGTCACATTCTGAGGTTATAATGGTTAGGGCTTCAATATAGGAGTTTTAGGGGACTGCAGCTCAGCCCATACATTTCAGTGGGTCGCTTATAGATGGGGTATATGATGTTGTCTAATTACTGGTGATATTAACTGTAATCACTTGGTTACGGGGATGTCTGCCAAGTTTTTCCACCATAAAGTAACTACTTTTCACTTTGTAATTAATACATATCTTGGGGACGATAACTTTGAGACTGTGAAAATAGGGCATTTCTCCTTGAACTTTTACCCATCTTTAGCATTCATTCCATTGGCCTGCAGCAGTTCTGTGGTGCTTACCTAATGGTGATTGTCTGTTCCTTTGTTTCTTCCACATTTGCTAATTGGAGTTGTTTTGCAAGGAGAAGCTATTCCTTCTCTGTATATCATTCATTCATGTCTTTTTTTTTTTTTTTTTTTTTTTTTTTTTGGAGATAGGCTCTTGCACTGTCATCCAGGCTGGAGTGCAGTGGTGTGAATGTGGCTCACTGCAGCCTCTACCTCCTGGGCTCAGGCAATCCTCCTGCCTCAGCCTCCTGAGTAGCTGGGACTACAGGCATGTGCCACCACACCTGACTAATTTTTAATTTTTTTCTGTAGAGATAGGGTCTTGCTATGTTGCCCGTGCTGGTCTTGAACTCCTTGGGGTCAAGCGATCCACTTGCCTCCACCTCCTAAAATGCTGGGATTACAGGCATGAGCCACCGCGCCGGGCTCATTTATGTCTTTATGCACTTAGATTTTTTTTTAACTCTATGTATTATAATCCAGTATTCTTATTCTGTTACTCAGATTGTCGTAGCTTTGGTCATTGGAAGCTCCTGCAGTTTGGGTCCTATGTCCTTTCATCATGTTTTCCCAATTTCTTATTTTCAGCTACCACAGGACACTCAGGGTGCATCTTGAATTTTCTTTGCTCCAGCTCTGGAGTCAGGCACTTGAGGGAGCACTGTTTCATTTTATTGGCAAACGGCATTTAGAAATGCACATGCGGGGCAACACGTGCTTGTTGCCGTTGCCTCTCGAACCTCTAGGAGGACAAAGCTTGGAAGTGCATGCCTGTATCTTAGCCCACACAAACCTGCACATCTATATATGGATCTCTCTGCATATGCAGTTAAAAATGAGTTCCTATTGATGAATTCCATTTCCAGTTTAACACCATAGCATTCATTCTAACCTTCTTCTTTTCCTTAATTGTTAACTCCTTTCTCCAGCAGTGAGAAATCCATACTCCGCTGTCTGTAATACATTTACTCATTTGCTCAACTCTAGTATAACATCAAAGTAGTTTCAAATTTGCTAACCCAAATCCCTCTGAGAAGCAGCTTTATTAACTAGAACACATGCCAGTGAACTGTAGCCCATGGGTTCAATCTGGCCCGCTTGATGTTTTTGTAAATAAAGTTTTATTGGAACACAGCCCCGCCTATTTGTTTATATATCACGCATGGTTGCGAGAGAGACCATATGGCCTCCAAAGCTGAAAAGCTTTACTGTCTGACCCTTTATGGACATGGTTTGCTGACTCTTAAAGTCCAAGAATATAGATTTTGTGTACGGCTCTTTTTGTCTTTAGCTTTATGGTGTCCCAGTCAAAATACTGTTTTCCAAGATTGCTTTTTCTTTTCACCTCCTTCAATGTGGTTATTTTATTCATTTGTAATTGAGTTAGATTAATTTGTTACTGCTTGGATTCCATTTTTTTGTTCCCCATACACACATCCTGGTTGATTGTCATTGTGTGTTTTGGATGTGTGAAATATTGATGTGGCTTCCAAGCGTGAGAGCTGTGCACCAGGGTATACACTCAGAAAAGCCTCCTCGTTCCAGCTTTCCCATTCCCATTCTGTACGCCCTCCACTCCTTTTCTACCCACCCTCTGTGGGTGACCAGTCTCTTTAGTTTCTAGTTTGTCTTTCATGTATGTTTTGTGCAAATCAACAGATACATATGTATTTTATTGCATTATCTTTCTTAAAAAAAAGAGCAGGTAGTATGGTATAAGATACTCTTCTGCACTTGACTTTTTTCACTTATCAATATGTCTTGGAAATCACTCACATCAGCTCTTAAAGATCATCTTCATTTTAAAAAATAGCCACTCCTTCGTGTGGATGTACCATAGTTTATTCAACCACTCTCCTATGTATGGCATTTAGAATGTTTCTGGTGTTTGTAATTATAAACGGTGTTGCAATGAATAAACTTGTGGATGTGTAGTTTTATACTGTTGGAGGCCTGCCTTCAGGATAGTTTCTTAGATGTGGGATTGCCAGTTTTTAAGAGTACTTTGTATGATAGGGATATTATATTAGTCCTTGGTGATCCTTTGTATGGTAGGGGTATTATATTAGTCCTTGGTGATATTTTGTATAGTAGGGGTATTATATTAGTCCTTGGTGATCCTTTGTATGGTAGGGGTATTATATTAGTCCTTGGTGATATTTTGTATGGTAGGGGTATTATATTAGTCCTTGGCGATATTTTGTATGGTAGGGGTATTATATTAGTCCTTGGCGATACTTTGTATGGTAGGGGTATTATATTAGTCCTTGGCGATACTTTGTATGGTAGGGGTATTATATTAGTCCTTGGCGATACTTTGTATGGTAGGGGTATTATATTAGTCCTTGGCGATACTTTGTATGGTAGGGGTATTATATTAGTCCTTGGCGATACTTTGTATGGTAGGGGTATTATATTAGTCCTTGGCGATACTTTGTATGGTAGGGGTATTATATTAGTCCTTGGCGATATTTTGTATGGTAGGGGTATTATGTTAGTCCTTGGTGATATTTTGTATAGTAGGGGTATTATATTAGTCCTTGGTGATATTTTGTATGGTAGGGGTATTATATTAGTCCTTGGTGATGTTTCTTGGACATACTTTCTCCCCGTTGGCTTTTGACTTTGATCTTGGTGTATGTGTGTGTGTTTATTTTTGCCTTTATGACTCGCCCTTGCCTACGGGATAATGACATAATGCATAGTTGTCTAAGTGTGTGATGGGTTACCCTTTGCCTTTTGTTGTTTGCATTGTACTTCCTAACTCCTACTTCACAAGATTTCAGTTCAGGCATCAGTTCCGAAATGATTTCTCAACTAGCATGAGTTAAAGAAAGAGATTATGTTCTGCCTTCTCAGAGGGTGCTACTTTTAAAAGTTGTTTGATCCTCATGGTACCCTTTAATGACTCCCTGTGATTATATGTCTAGTACCAGTTAACTATGTCAGAGTTACTTTCAGATTTTATCAGTTGTTGTGACTGTATGGGATGACTCAGTGTTGGACCTGAGACTTTGCCTCCAATTTTAATATATTTCATGAATCCATTTCCACTAAAATCTTTTTTGTTTTAGTATATAATAAAATCTACACATCTCAGTTTTGACTTGCCTGGTGTCATAGTCCATTTGGAGAGCTGTAACAAAATACTATAAACTGGGAGGCTTAGAAATAACATAAATGTATGCTCATAGTCCTGGGGGCCCAGAAGTCCAAGGTCAAGGCACCCAGCAGATTGGTGCCTGGCGAGGGCTGCTCTCTGCCCTTCTCACAGTGTCCTCACATGGTGGAAGGGACTAGCCAGGTCTCTTATCAGGGCACCAATCCCATTCATGAGGGCAGAGCCTTGTGCCACTCTCCTATGTATGAGACCTAGTTATTTCTCAAAAGTCTAACCTTTTAGTACCATCATACTAGGGATTGGGTTTCAACATAGGAAATTTTGGGGGACACAAATATTCAGACCATAGCAAGTGGTCATTTGTGTCTATTCAGTTATTGCAGGCAATTCCTTCAGTAAATAGAGAAAGAGCTTGTCAATGCATATCATCTTGTGTCAGATCAGCCGTACAGAGGTCCATTTACTGGGAGCTAATGAAGCTTCAGTTTCAGGTCTGACAGAAGTTTTTGATAGTTGGCGTTATAGAGGGGACATTTTTGCATGCTCATTAATTCTTTAGTAGTTAAGAAGGATTTCCTCTGGAAGCATTAATTAGCAAGAATATGAAGTAAAAGTAAAACATAGTAGACCATGTAAAAACTTCCTGAACTATGTTGCATAGATAATACTAAAGATAGAACTAGCAGTTGTTTATTTTTAATAAGCTCTCTAGACTTAAACTATTTTAAATAAAAACAGAGCACCTGACTTAAAATAGCATTTTTAAAAGTACCTCTTCAGTAGTAATAGGCTGTCACTGCTAGCTTATTGGTTATTTTCCCTCAGCTCTTGCTCTCTTCTGGTCAGTTATGGATTCTTGTTTGAGGAGAGGAGCTGGCAACACTAGTTGGCCCTCTCTGTACTTAACATCATGAGGCTCCTAGAATTTAGTAAGGAGATACTCAAAAGTAGTCTATATGGGTTTTTAAAAACTAGCTTTTAATTACACAAGTACTCAATGACATTATTCTTTTTTTTTTTTTTTTTTTGAGACAGGGTCTCTGTCATCCAGGCCATAATGCAGTGGTGCCATTATAGCTCACTGCAGCCTCAAACTCTTGGCCTCGAGTGATCTTCCTGCCCTGCCTTTCCAAAGCTCTGGGATTACAGGCATGAGCCACCACCCCTGGCCTCTCTCTTCTTTAACAAATACTAAATTAATTTATTTAGTTTAGAGATGGGTCTCACTGTTACCCGGGCTGGTCTGGAACATTATAAAGACTCCTGTTGGCCATCTCACTTGACTGTTGTCTTCCACCCTCTTCCCCATTCATCAGCTCTTAGTGTTGGTCTCCCCTGGAACCTTCCACATCATCTCCTGTGCCTTTGCTGTCTGCAGGGTGGTCCATGGACTGGCAGCAGCATCAAGCTTGCTGGAGTTGGTTAGAAATGCAGACTCTGAGGCACCGCCCCAATCCAGTTGAATTGGAATCTGCATCTTAACAAGATCTTTGGTGATTTGTAGGGACATGGTTTTGTATACATGTTTTCTATAGTGAACATAGAAAGTACTGCCAATGTGTGTTTAGAATGTACACAAACGATATGATGTAACTTTTTCCATCAACAAGATGCCCTAGATACCTCTAAAGATCACTCTGTGTGGTGTGTGTAGACCTGTCTCATTCTTTCTTAGTTGCTTCCTAACTTTACTTCTGCAGTGTTAAATGATTAGTCACTTCCCCATTGAAGGACATTAAGGTTGTCTGCAGCTTTTGTTTTTTTGGGATGTCCGGTGTAGCGGTGAACTCACTCTAGGGCACGTCTTGTGTACATGTGCCCAGAAAGTAGCTGGATAGAAGAGTGTGAACATTTTTAACTTAAACATCCTGCTAAATTGCCCTCCAAACTGGTTGTATCAATCTGACTCTTACTTTGTTTCAGTGATCAATTTACATAGTCTTTATTCTTTATAACATTGTTTTAATGGCCATAGCATTATAATGTTTTCATATCAAGTTGCCTATCCCTCCCCTTTGCTGTAATTCTTCAAAATTATATTGGCTTTTAAAGAAATTCCACAGTCTTCTATAGGAAATTTAAAATCAGCCTGTCAAGTTCTGTGAAAAATTCTAGTAGGGATTTTTTTTTTTCATGGCTGAAGATTGTATTGAATTTCTAGATTAATTTGGGTTGGAGACTAGGTATGTGAAGTGTTGAGCCTTCTGATACTCATCTCTGAACATGGTATTTCTCCCAATTTACTTGTCTTCTTCTGTCCTTGAGTAAAGTTTTATAGCTGAATGTATAGGTATATGTGCATTTGTATGTGTGTGTTGTGTATTGTAGTTTTGTCTGTTTTCTTTTAGATTTATTCTTAGGTTGTTTTTCTAGCTATTACGAATAGGATTTTCAAAAAGACTGATTTCTAATTGATTGCCGTTGTATAGGAAAATCACTAAGTTTTCATATGTTTACCTTGTTCCTTTGCTGGACACTGTTTTAATGGTCAGTTAGAGCTCTAGGATTTTGGAGTCGGCAGTCTTCTACCTTCGAATTAATTATAGTTCGTACTTGCTTTTCCTTGTGTTTATGCATCCATTTCATTTTCTCATCTGGTGTAGGCTGGGAACTTCCAGGACCATTTTGAGTAGTAACATGGTAGAGAACACTGCCGTCGTCATCTTCGCCTACTGGAGTGCTTCTAGTGTTTCACCATTGAAGTATGAGCATTCCCAAAAATGTCTAGTTGTAGATATTCTATCCAGATTTGCTGGCGAAGAGGTCTTTGTTACTTTTTAAAATCATGAGTGGGTTTTAATTTGATGGTGTGCTTTTGCAGCATCCGCTGATATTCTTAGGTTTTCTCCTGTATCTAATGATGGTAGTGACAGATTTTCTAGGACTGAATTACCCTGTTATTTCAGGGACTTACTCTACTGGGTTATCATTTATTCTTCTGCCACTGATGGATTCATTTTGCTAAATTATGTGTTTAGGATGTGTAAATATCTGCTGTGAGATTGACGGATCCATTTGTGCATGTGTGTGTATATGTGCACATGCTGTTCTGGTTTTATTTTATCCGATTGTTATTAGAATCTAATTAGTTGTTTCTTGATGTTTTGGTGGAATTTGCCTCAAGTTTCTATCTCAGACTTGTAAACAGAATTGTTGGTGCAATTTGTTTTTTCGTTTTTCTGTTTTTTTTCAAGACAGGATCTTGCTCTGTAGCCCAGGCTGGAAGTGCTGTGGTGCGATTATGGCTCACTGCAGCCACAGCCTCCCAGGCTCCAACGATCCTTCCACCTCAGCCTCCCGGCTGGAACTACAGAAGTGTGCCACTATGCCTGGCTAATTTTTTTTTTTTTTTTTTTTGTAGAAACAGGATTTTACCACATTGCCTAGGTTGGTCTTGAACTCCAGCTTGAACTCAAGTGATCCACCCACCTTGGCCTCTCAAAGCATTGGGATTACAGGATAAGCCACTGCACCTGGCCAAGTATTTTTTATTTCTAATAACAATGAACTTTTGGTGCATCTGGATAGGTAGCATTCCCATTATTTTCATTTCCACATTGAGTTAAAATTATTTTTGGCAAACTTTTGGGAACAAAACATTTTCTTAAAATGTTGAAGTAAGTTTTCTTAAACTTTCTTAAAATGTTGAAGTAAGTTTTCTTAAACTTTGTGTAAGCAGCTATTTTTATGTTAGTTAATTATTTTAGAGTTGAAATCATGAGAGGGGAAAAACAACCTTTAAGTAATTGACTTGAACCTATTAGAAAGTGAAACTGAACAGGTATTTTACTGTTCATGGAGCATATGCAGAGTCAACCTAAGAGGTCAAAGGAATTTAACTTATAACAAGAGGAAGTTCTGCTTCAGTTCACTGTGAGGACTTAATATTAGAAAAGTAGAGTTTACAGACAAATTTAGTATTTTGTTATTGTTGTTGTTTTGGAGACAGGGTCTTGTTCTGTTGCCCAGGCTGGAGTCCAGTGGTGCAGTCCTGGCTCATACTGCAGCCTCCACCTCCAAGGTTCAAGCAATTCTCGTGCCCCAGCCTCCCTGGTAGCTAGGATTACAGCCGGCTACCATGCCTGGCTAATTTTTGTATTTTTAGTAGAGATGGGGTTTTACCATGTTGGCCAGGCTGCTCTCGAACTCCTTGCCTCAAATGATCTGCCCGCCTCAGCCTCCCAAAGTGCTGGAATTACAGGTGGGAGCCACCCCACCCAGCCCAAATTTAGGATTGAGAATAGATCCTACAGATGTGCCATGTGGGATTCATGTCAGCTTGTTGTAGGGTTTTGATGGAATCCATTCAAAGAAGAGGGAGAGGATGAAGAGAGCCAGCCAGATTAAGGGGCAGTGTTGTAGGGTCTGCCAGTCCCTTGGTAACAGATCTCTTATTCAGAAATATTCTCATTTTTCCTGGTTTGTGACCCTTAGTTTGCCTTCTCTTCAATCCCAAAGTCCGATTTTTAAAGCTGCCAGTAGGAACTTGAGCTTTAATAGTACATGCTTATGCTTTTATACTAGTAATAACAAATACTTACAGATGGAAATAGGATATGTCTGTGTTCTCACCCTCCCTCAACCCTAACCTTCCAGAATATGCCTGAATATGTATGTATGTGTATATATGCATATGTTTATGTATATATCGTGTATCACATAAATAGATTTTTAAACATGCACCAGAGGTTTATATAAATATAGCTATAAGCCTTTTAATTTTGGAACTTAAGAATATTTTGTATGTCACTATGTAGTCAGTTACCACATATCAACCTTCTCTACTTAAGAGCCTCATAGTTTTATTCCTTAGTGTAGAATACTGTCATTTAGCCATTTCTCTGTTGATTTTTAGGTTGTTTACAGTTTTTTCCAATAGACTTACTATGTCAGAAGGAACACACATTTAAAAAATCTGTATAACCAGATTGCCTTCCAGTGTATTTGTTCATACTCACAGATTGAGTGCCTGCCTTCCTGCATGTGTATCAATACTGGTTATTATCAGTCTTTAATTTTTGCTAATCTAATGGACAGAAATTGGCATGTGATTGTTGTAATAGTGAGATTTCACTTTTTTTTTTTTTTTTTTTTACCTTTTTTTTTTCCCTTGTCCAAGGTGTGCCTATTTAATGTTCTTCGATCAGGCAGTTGGCACTTTCCATATTATATTCAGTGGTCCCGTGTCAGCATTTTCTCCTAATTTACTGCCTGTTTTGGCTTTTAAAAATATATGTATTTTTTGCTCTACAGAATGTGTTTATCATCAACTCTTTCTTTATGACAGCTGGCTTGTGTGTCTTGGTTAAAAAGTCCTTTTCTTTATCAACATTATAAACACCCTCCTATATTTTCTTTGAGTATTTTTATAGGTTTTTTTTTTTTTTGACGTTATCCTATTGGAGGATATTATTGTTTATGTTTGGGAACATAGAGATTGAGCTTTAAAATTTTTCCACGTGAAATAACCAGTTGCCCCAATAGTTTATTGAATTTCATGTTTTAAAAATGCTACCCGTTGGCATACACTAAATTTCTGTATATTTCTGAAGTTTCTGTTCAGCTTCATATTCAGTAGCAGTGGCAGAGCTGTCGTTACCCCAGCTGTAGAGGACGCACTGAGCATCAAGCACGCAAATCTCTCGCGTCCCTGTTTTTTTTTTTTGTCAAAATTCTCTTGATTATTTTTGTGTATGTAGGTTGACTTTAAGAGTTTTATTTTGGATTTTGTAAGTAGTAAAGGGGTTGCATTTTACAAAGCCAAAAATACAAATAGCCCCAAGAAACTACTACTACGAAGATTTATTTTTATTTCCCATCTGCTGGGTATTGTTTTAAGTACTTTGCAGATATTGTTACAGAAGAAGCAGTTATACTTTGATTTATTTTTCTTTCTTTCTTTTTTTTTTTTTTTTTTAATGGAGTCTCACTCTGTCACCAAGGCTAGAGTGCACAGTAGCACAGTCTTGGCTCACTGCAACCTCCACCTCCCAGGCTCAGGCAGTCCTTCCACCTCAGCCTCCTGAATTGCTGGGACTACCACCATGCCTGGCTAATTTTTGTATTTTTAGTAGAGACGGGGTTTTGCGATGTTGCCCAGGCTTGTCTTGAACTCCTGAGCTCAAGTGATCTGTCCATCTCAGCCTCCCAAAGTGCTGGGATTACAGGCATGAGCCACTGTGCCCAGCCTATATTTTGATTTCATAGTGAGCAAAAAATTGGTCTGATTGCATGACTGTAGTGGGGAAATGATAATAAGCTGACACCTATGTGTTTTAGCTGAGACAGTATAAAATTGTGTCTAGTATAGATTTGAGGTGTACTGAGGTTCCACTTGCCCCTCAAGGGACACCCCCAATTCTCATATACCCACCTTGAACACAGTTAACAGTGTTTGTGTCCTGCTTTTTATAAGTCATGAGCATTTCCTGATATCATCAAAATGCTTTTAGAAATACAACTAATAAATATATTGTGTCTTGCCTGTTGTATTGTTGCGAAATCTAGTTATTCCTACAGGCATTGTATTTTTTTGGTGGTATCTTTCTTTTGCAGTTGTGTTGTATGTGAAAGAGTATGTCACCTGTGAGGTATGGAGCCTCCTAAAGAGACCTGGGAGCCAGCTAACTTCAGCCGGAGCCTAATACTCATGCATTGAACTGTGTGCTCTTTCCCTCAGGCCTTTAATTACAGGTACACAGTTACAAGTAATACTGTGACCTACTCTTCAATCACCCTTTCCTTTTTAAGAGAATTAAAAAAAAAAAAAACTGTGAAATTCCTGGATCAGAAGCCATGGCTTTTGTCAGAGCCAGCTACTCACTCCCACCGGCAGTACCTGAGTGACCATCTGAACATTCCCTTACGAGCCACCACTAGACAGTACATTCAAAACTTAGCTCATTTGATAGAAAAGTGTTATCTTTTAATTTGCATTTCTTAGCTCACTAGAAGGTAAGTGATGTGGGAATTTTTGTTAAAGTTAGTATTTTTATCATTTTAAACTTTTAAGTCTGTAATTTACATATCTGGACTTTATTCTGCCCAGTGTTGTGTCTTGAGGGCCTAAATCTCATAATCAATTAGCCACCGTTTTTGTATTATTCATGACTCATCGTGACTTCCAAAGTTTAAACTTCTGTGTGTACTAGGGTTTGTTTTGGGCTGGTTGCTGCGTCAGAATTAGATGAATTTGTCTGTAGTCTCATTGCTTGAGACAAAATATCTTCTAAAGAAACTGAAATAACATCTTTTTCATATTAAAAACGTTTAGGCATTGGCACTTCTTGTTTTGTGGCTACAACTAAAGTTGTATTTTGTCAGCCTTTAAATGCTTAAGTAAGATAGTAGCTATTTACATTTAATATGGAAAAGAGGCCAGGTACAGTGGCTCACGCCTGTAATCCCAGAACTTTGGGAGGCTGAGGCGGGCAGATTGCTTGAGCCCAGGGTTCAAGACCAGCCTTGGCAACATGGCAAAACCACTTCTCTACAAAAAATACAAAAATCAGCTGGGTATGGTGGCACATACAGGTAGTCCTAGCTACTTGGGAGGCTGAGATGGGAGGATCACTTGAGCCTGGAGGTCGAGGCTGCAGTGAGTGGAGATTGTGCCACTGCATTCTAGCCTGGGTGATAAAGTGAGCCCCTGTCTCAAAAAATAAAATAAAATATAAAATAAAATAAAATGGAAAACACCAAGAAAAGGAGTGTGGGCAATATAAATGGTATTGATATTGTTAAACCTTTCTAAGAAAGATTGTTTCTATGAAAGGGAGATTTTCTAAGCCTTTTGAAGGTGTTTGATACCTCCCTGTGTTAATGCGGTGTGAGGTATGTACAGTGAACAGCTGAATTAGTCAGCAGTCTTTGCCCTTAGTTGATTGTGCGGACCTTGGGGGTGTTAGAATTTTCTTCAGTGTGAGTCTGAGATTGGAGATGTATTCATTAGATGCATAGAGTTTATTGACTTTTGGGCCACAATTTGATTGTCTTCCATGAGCAAATGGACATTTCTCTTGTGGGTGCCTTGTTTTCCTACTCATATTATGCTTATCCTGCTTTGTCTGGGCATTTTTATCACCAGATTAATTTTCCTTCTTCAGGAGGGAGGCACAGTTGTATTCCGTAGTAGAGATGCTAAATGGGTAAGGTGTGAAAGCTGACTCTGACCACAATTGCTTAGCATGAAAACTGTGGATGTAAAAATCATGTTAACTTGAGTGTAACTGTATCACCAGGTGACTGAGGAGAGAGGCACGAGGGCTTATTTATTCAGTTACTTTTTCTTTTTCCAGGGATTGATCCCTTCCTGCCTTTAAGACCACAGGTCTGTTGTAAAAGTTAATGCAGGTGCGGTGTCACTGCTATCCTCTCTGTAGGTCCCTGTGAATTGGGAGTGCTTCCTGATACCCCACAGAGGTGAGCACTGGGAGTCTGAGTATTGTCCATAAATCCAACTGTTTTTATACCTTGATAATGGAAATGCTACCTGGCTCTTTTTCTTTTTAGGTTCGTTCTCTCTCTCTCTCTCTCTCTCTCTCTCTCTCTCTCTCTCTCTCTCTGTGTGTGTGTGTGTGTGTGTAGCTCTTCACCAGTTTTTCATTTTTCGTGAATAGGGATGTTATTTATGTGCATTGGATTTAATGCTTTTATTATAAATCATTAAAGTCTTACTTGTATGTTGAAATTTGGGGATACTTTATTCATACTCAACTCATAGAAGTAAAGAATTACGTGTGTCAATCATTGGTTCTCAAGCTTCCTTTGTTAAGATGTTCCCACTCCCTCATTGGACAGGTGGCTGAGGGGTTTGCCCAGACTTAAAAATTTGTCATGTCTACCAGATAGTGGTGGCTTCTGCCCTTTTTCTTTCTGGTCTGTTGACAACCTTCATGTATTGGGAACTTGCTGTTTTTGGGGTCCAGCTCATTGCTTTAAAGGTATCATCATGACAACATCTTGAGGCTCAGGTATCTGCAATTTTGTAGTTAAGAACTTCAGGTCAGAGAGGTTACTAGTGATGCCATCTTCCTTGATCTCTGCTTATTTCTTCTCTGATCTCATAATCTGATATCAGGTGTTTATGACAGTGGTTTTCAGAGGGGGAGGTAGATCAAATTCACCCTCAAGGGACATTTGGCAATGTCTGGAGACATTTTGTGATGGTCATAGCCAGGTTGGGGTTGAGGGGCTGTGCTCCTGGCATCTTATGGGTAGAGGCCAGGGATTCTGCTGAACATCCTGCCATGCATAGGATGGCCCCACACCAAGAGTTACCTGGCCCCAGATGCCAGTAGTGCTGAAGTCAAGAAACCCTGTGTTATGAGAATGTACCAGATACTGGTGGTGGAGTGGAAGGTCTGGTGGTGACTTCAGCAGGACAAGAGTTGTTAAGGGAGGCTGAGTAGCCAGAGAAATGAGGAGAGGGGCCATCCTAGGCCGTGGTGGGGAATGCAGGCTGATTCCTAATCCATCTCCCTCTGTGTTCTCTGTGGTGATTCATCCTATGGCCACACAGATGCACAGAGAGCTCTTAGAGCCACAGATGCCAGCACAGAGAGCTAGATTTTCCCCAAAAGTGCATAAATGCACCCAACAGGTAGATTTTAAAGTGTGGTTTTTCAGCAGTTGTAGCATTTCCCTGTTATTTCAGGGCTCTGAATATACCTCTGTGACTTGAAAGTGATCGTGAAAAATACCTGATTTACTCTGTGGTGAGACAACAGATGTTAAAGACAGCTTCCCTGATGTTAGGCTATAAAGCTAGGCGTTTCTCCCTCCTCACAGCAAAGTTTTACATATCAGGTTCAACTTTCTGAACCCAGCTTGTACCACGGTAAAGAGATGGGTTCCTCTGAGGGTTGGGTTCTGCTATTTTCCTCTCTCTCTCTCTGGCAGCATCGGACCTTTGGGGTCCTGAGGTTTGGCTCTTGGACCTTCGGGAGGCATCCCAGTGAGGGAATCGAGGGACTTTGATCTTCACCACAGCCCTCTCACTAGTGGATGTTATGTTCTCCCCCACCAGATTGTATTTAAGAAGAGGCTGCATAGACAGGAAAACTTTGAGGAGCTATATGAAGGAAAACAGGACCAAATTAAACCAGTTCCCTTGTGAGTGCACTGGGAAGTGATTGGAAGTGATGCCCACAAGATGACTGAGATACCTTAATTGCAGGTGTGGAAACAGTCCTGCAAAACGCCTGTGAAAATAGAAATATAGTGGACACTAAGGCAGAGCGGCAGCCTGCAGCGTGCAGAAACACGGGAATCATGAGACATCTTGAAATCTGTAAAACATCCGCAGGCCTTGACTCACATCTGGAATGTGACATCCACAACCAGAATTGTCTTACATCTTACTCAGTTCTTGGCACAGAATAGGTTTCAGTATTAATAGCAGTGGGAGCCATCTTTACATTTTCTAACCTGGCTTTTGATTGTATTCATCTTATTAATGATGTCATGTAGAATCTCATTTTACCTTTATCATTATTCATTTCTTTCTTGCCTTTTCATCTTTGTGGTTCTAGTGCCTTTATGGTCCAAGTGAAAGTTGAGGTATACAAAATATAAATCTTAGGAGAACAGCTCTCTGAAGAAAAAAGCACAACAAAATGTAAATCAGAGGAGAGGTGATTATCATGGTCATATGGGAATTCTTTTTTTTTTTTTTTTTTTTTTTTTTTTTGAGACGGAGTCTCACTCTCACTCTGTCGCCCAGGCTGGAGTGCAGTGGTGTGATCTCGGCTTACTGCAACCTCTACCTCCCGGGTTCAAGTGATTCTCCTGCCTCAGCCACCCCACGCCCAGTCGGTCATATGGGAATTCTTCATATAAAAGCATTCCTTGTGGCCCGGCGTGGTGGCTCATGCCTGTAATCCCGGCACTTTGGGGGGCCGAAGCGGGCGGATCACTTGAGCTCAGGAGTTTGAGGCCATCCTGGCCAACATGGTGAAACCCCGTCTCTACTAATAATACAAAAATTGGTGGGCGTGGTGGCATGCACCTGTAATCCCAGCTATTCAGGAGGCTGAGGCATGAGAATCACTTGAATAACTCGGGAGGCGGAGGTTGCAGTGAACTGAGATCACACCACTGTACTCCAGCCTGGGCTCTAGAGCAAGACTGTATCTCGGGGGAAAAAAAAAAAGCGATCCTTGGGTTTCCATGTGTTCCTAATATTTGTGGCTTACCAGATTTAAAGCATGCTCCTTTCAGAGTACATAGATTAAAATATGCACCTACATTGTCCATTTGAGGTAATTGTAGCCATATAATAATTTTCCAAATTTTAGTTGTTCTTGGTGGTTGTTGCAATAACGTATGTACCAGCCAAATGGTTACTTTTTTCTTTAAGTAAATCAGCTTTTTATTTATTTATTTTTTTGAGATAGGGTTTTGCTCTGTCACCTAGGCTGGAGTGCAGTGGTGTCAATGGCTCACTACAACCTTGACCTCGTGGGCTCAAACGATCCTCCCAACTCAGCTTCCTGAGTAGCTAGGACTACAGGTGCACACCACAGTGCCTGGCAAATTTTTCTTTTCTTTATTTTTTTTTTCTTTCTGTAGAGATGGGGTTGGCGGGGGGCATCTCACTGTGTCACCCAGGCTGGTCTTGAACTCCTGGGCTCAGGTGATTCACCCACCTCAGCCTCCCAAAGTGTTGGGATTGTAGATGTGAGCCACTGTGCCCGGCAAAATCAGCTTCTTAACAGCCTTTTCTTTTAAACGTAAATATTATTTTGCCATAAATGGAGTATCATTCAGCTTAAATAGAAATATAAAAAGCATTAACAAAGCTACAAATTTAATCTGGGGGGAAAAAATCAATGGTACCATTCATCTGTTAATAGTTTTGGAATAACCAGCCTGAGAGTCAATTCACATGTGTACACTTGTAAAGTATAAAAGCTATTTTACCATTTTCTTTATTTTGGTTGAATACCAATAATTTCTAATCCTGGCAATGAGGGTGGCTTGGGTCTCCAGGAGCCACCAGCAGCCATTCTCTGGAATCTATCTGAATGTGTCAAAGTATGTGTGTAGTATCCAGACAGTGGGATAAGAGGGCCCTTTGCCACACATTGCTGCCATCTGCTATGGAAAATGAAACCCTATTTCATGTGTTTTCAGTTCTCTTCATAATGTGCAAAATATTTTCAGTGAGTTTTCAGATTAATATTTGTCTCAGTCATGTAGACAACAACAAAACCGTCCTGTGTTTTGTTGTTCAGATGTGACCCCACAGGTCTACTTCTGTGCTCACAAGGGAATTTCTCTCTTCTTGCATGTCCAGTACCACCTTGTAAGGATAAATTCAGGTGCTTTAAATGAACAAATAACTTAGCAGAATACACTGATTCCTGAAGCCTGCCCAATTCCTTCTGTGCTCTGACGTAGACATGGCTGTGCATTGTCGTAAGAAGTCGACACCACCTATCTCTATAGAAAGCAGAGGGGAAAAGTGCAGGATTCAGCAGCTTTTCTTAACAAATTGTAACATTTTGAGTTGGCTTCCATATATAAACAAGGAGTAGATAAGTTTATTTTAGCATTTTAGCAAAAACACTTAGTAATTTAGTATATTTCCGTGACATTTACCTTTAAGACTCTTTTTAATTACCTAATTGATCTTATCCATGATGGGTTCAACACAAAGAACAAATATTCAGAGAACAGTCCCAATTCCATTTCCAAATTATGTATACTTAAACATAACATACCTACTAAAATATTGCTGGCTTCTAGGGGTGACTTTTGGTCTGTCACTGGTAAGAGTGCATGGATACACATGGAAAGTCAGTGTTCAGAAATCTTGATTGGCATTCATGCATGCCTTCCATACTATCTGTAGTCCTTTTCTCTTGTAATAAAATACATGTAACCTAACATTTGCCATTATAACAATTTTAAGTATATAATTCCCTGACGTTAATCACAATGTTGTATTTGTATCTCCAAAACTTTTAAATTCCCCCAAACAGAAACTTTGTAACCGTAAAATGTATGTAACCTAACATTTGCCATTATAACCATTTTAAGTATACAATTCCATGATGTTAATCCAATGTTGTATTTGTATCTCCAAAACTTTTAAATTCCCCCAAACAGAAACTTTGTAACCGGTAAAATATACGTAACCTAACATTTGCCATTATAACAATTTGAAATGTACAATTCCATGATATTAATCACAATGTTATATTTGTATTTGTATTTTATTTGTCTCTCCAAAACTCTTTAATTTCCCCAAACAGAAACTCTGTAACCATTATGTAAAAACTCCCCATTCGCTTCCCCCAGTCCCTGGAAATCTCTATTCTACTTTCTGCCTCAGTGAATTTGCCTATTCTAGATATTTGATATAAGGGAGATCTTGTAGTATTTGTCCTTTTGTGTCTGGCTTCCTTCACTTAGCATAATGTTTTCAAGGTTCATCCGTGTTCCAGCATGTATCAGCACTTTATTCCTGTTTATGACTGAATAATACTCTTACATAGATACACCACATTTTATGTATCCATTCATCTTAGTGGACATATGCGTTGTTTCCATATTTTGGCTACTGTGAATGCTACCATGTACCTTGATAATTCCAGTATATAATTGAGTCCCTGTTTTCAGGTATTTGGTATATATGTCTAGGAGTGGGTCCTGTGGGTTGCATGGTGGATCATTGTTGGGTCATATGGTAATTCGATGTTTAACTTTTTGAGGAGCTGTCAAACTATTTTACACAATGACCACACCATTTTACATTTCCACTAGCAGCGCTCGGCTCGGCAGCACTTATTTTCCATTTTTAAAATTATAGTCATCCTCATAGATTTAAAGTAGTATTTCATTGTGATTTTGATTTGCATTTTCCTAATGAGTACGATGAGCATCACTTGATATGCTTATTAGCTATTTGTATGTCTTCTTTGGAGAAATGTCTAGTCCTTTGCCCATTTTTCATTGGGTTATTTGTCATTGTTGTTGAGTTTTGTTGAGTTCTTTATATATTCTGGTTATTAAGCCCTTACCTTACCAGATATGATTTGCAAATATTTTTATGTTGGCTTTTCACTTGCTTGATAATGTCCTTTGAAACACACAAGTTTTTAATTGGTTAAAGTTCAGTTTACCTATTTTTTTTTCTTTTGCTGTTCATCCTTTGGGTGACATATCCAACTGTTTCTTTTTCAAGATTGTTTTGACTTTCTGGGACCTTTTGCAAGTCCATATGAATTTGAGTACAAGCTTTTCCGTTTCTGCAAAAAAGGCTGTTGGATTTTTTTTTTCTTTGAAACAGAGTCTCACTCTGTTGCCCAGGCTGGAGTGTGGTGGCATGATCTCGGCTCACTGCAACCTCCATCTCCTGAGTTCAAGCAATTTTTGTGCCTCAGCCTCCTGAGTAGCTGAGATTACAGGTGCCCACCACCAAGCCCAGCTAATTTTTGTATTTTTAGTAGAGACAGGGTTTTACCATGTTGGTCAGGCTGTTCTCGAACTCCTGACCTCAGGTGATCCGCCAGCCTCGGCCTCCCAAAGTGCTGGGATTTCAGGCATGAATCACCGTGCCCCACTAGCTGTTGGAATTTTGATAGGCCTTGCATGAACCTATCACTTTTGGTTAGCATGCATTGCTAGTATATAGAAACACTCTGATTTTTGTGTGTTATCCTGCAACTTTGCTGAATTTATTAGCTTTAGTAGCATTCCTGTGGATTTTTCAGGATTTTCTATATATAGGATCGTGTCCTATATATAGAATTGTGAATGAGTAGTGATAGTTTTACTTCTTTTCAATTTGGATGCCGTTTGTTTTTTGTCTAATTACTCTGGCTATAACTTCCAGTTATACACTTCACAATTGAGTGTATTAGCTGTGAGTTTTTCATAAATGTCCTTATCATGTTGAGGAAGTTCTCTTCTATTCCCAGTGTGTTGAATGTTTTAATCATGAGTTAGATTTTATCAGTGCCTTTTCTGCATTGATTGAGGTGATCCTGTGGTTTTCCTTTCTTTGATTTTTCTAATGCAATATATTACATTGATTGATTTTCTCATATTAAACCACCCTTGTATTCCTGGGATAAATCCCATTTGGTTATAATCCTTTTAGATGTTAGATTTGGTTTGCTCGAACAGCCAATCCTCATTATTCATGGATTCCATATTTGCCTATTTGCTAAAATTTATTTGTAACCCAAAAATTAATAATGCAGTGGTTTCATGGTCATTTATACATACACCTAGAATGGCAAAAAAAAAAAAAAAAAAGAGAGTCACCTGACACACATCTTCCTAGCTGAGACTGCCCATAACAACACACTGCCTTGTTTCAGCTGTGAGACCACCAGCGGGTGGAAGTGATGGGGGTAATGCAGTGTAGTACCAAAACCTTTGGCCTCAGAGCCACTTGAAGTGGTTTAAATCTCAACTCTGGCACCTGTTAGTGGGACGGTCTCAGGCAAGTCACTTAACATTTTTGAGTTTCATTTTCTCCATTCTGTAAAATAGAATCGACTAGGATCAGTTGTTTGTAGGATTATAATCTATGTGAGATATGTGTGTGCATATTTACCTTATGAGCAGGTGGTTTAGTATCCATTGATTCAATGGTCCTCACCTTTATTTCTAATTTTAGTTATTTGTGTCTTTTCTTTTTTTCTCTGTCCAGCTAATGGTTTCTCAATTTTTATTGAGTTCTTCAAATAACCAACTCTTAATTTCATTGATTTTTCTTTTCTTCTATTCTCTATGTATCTTACCCGTAATCTTTATTATTTTCATCCTTCTGGTACCTTCGGGTTTACTTTGCTCTTCTTTTTCTAGCTCCTTAAGGTGTAAAGTTAGGCTGCTGACATGAGATCTTTTTTTCTTTTTTAATGTAACCTTTACATCTATAAACTTTCCTCTGACCACTGCCTTCACTACATTGCATACTTTTTCTGTGTTGTGATTTTGTTTTCATGCATCCCTAAGTGTCTTCTACTTTCCCTTGTGATTTCTTTTTTGACCCATGGTTGTTGAAGGAGGGTGTTGTTTTAATTTCCACATATTTGTGGATTTTCCCATTTTTCTTTTGGTGTTAATTTCTAGCTTCATTCCACAAGATAACTTTGTAAGATTTCAATTTCTTAAAATGTGAGACTTGTTATGAGGTCTGACATTTGGTCTGTTCTGGAAAATGATTCATATGCACTTAAGAAGGTATATTCTGCTGTTTGGTGAAGTGTTAGGTCTAGTTGGTTTATAGTGTTGTGCAAGTCCTGTTTTGATCTTCTAGATAATCTGTCCTGTACTGAAAATGTAGTGTATTGAATTCTCCAACTGTTATTGTAAAGCTATCTTTTTCCCTTCAGCTTTGTCAATATTTGCTTCATGTATTTTGGAGCACTGTTGTTTGGTGCTTACATGTTTATAATTGTTATATTTTCTTGTTGAACTGGCCTTTATGTCACCATCTTTTGTGTCTTGTTACAGTTTTTGACTTAAAGTCTGTTTTGTCTGATATTAGTGTAGCCACCTCCAGCTTTCTCTTGCTTACTATTTACATTTAATATATTTTTTACTACTTTCCCTTTCAACCTTTTTGTTTTTGAATCTTGAGTTTCCTGTAGATAACATATAGTTATATAATGTTTTTATATCCATTCTGCCAGTCTCTGCCTTCTGTCAGAAAAGTTTAATTTACATTTCAAGTTACTACTGACAAGCACTTCTTCCATGTTGCTATTTGTTTTCTGCCTTATACTTTTGTTCCTCATTGCCTTAATTACTACCATTTGTGATTAGTTGATCTTTTTTCTTTTTAATAATGGATTGTTTGGATTCCCTTCTCATTTCCTTTTGAATATATAGCTTTTAGATATTTTCTTTGTGGTTATCATGGGAATTATATGTAATATCCACAATTGATGTTGTTGTTTAAGTCAATATCAGCTTCAATAGCATACAAATGTCTGTCTATACAGCTCCATCTGCTCCCTTTATGTTCTTACAAAGTACATATTTTATGCATTGTGTGCTCAATAACATGGATTGATAATTATTTTTCATGCATTTGTCCTTTTTTTTCTTTTTTGAGACAGAGCCTCACTCTGTCACCCAGGCTGGAGCGCAGTGGCATGATCTCGGCTCACTGAAACCTCTGTTTCCCAGGGTCAAGTGATCTCCTGCCTCAGCCTCCCGAGTAGCTGGGATTACAGGCATGTGCCACCACGCCTAGCTAATTTTTGGATTTTAAGTAGAGACGGGGTTTCACCATGTTGACTAGGCTGGTCTCAAACTCCTGACCTTAAGTGATCCGCCCACCTCGTCCTCCCAAAGTGTTGGAATTACAGGCGGGAGCCATCGCACCCAGCCTGTGTATTTCTCTTAAGTCATGTGTGAAAGAAAAAGTACATTCAAAATTCCTAAATACAGTACTACTGGCTTTTATATTTGCTCATGTATTTACCATTACCAGAGAGCTTTATTTCTTTTTCAGCTTTGAGTTACTGTTTAGCATGCTTTCACTTGAAGCATTTCTTTCAGGGAAAGTCTAGTGGTGATGAACTTCCTCAGCTTTTATTTATCTGGGAATGTCTTACTTTCCCCCTCAGTTTCAACGTTAGTTTGCTGGATATAGGACTTTTAACAGGTTTTTTTTTTAACTTTCAGCTTTTTTTTTTTTTTTTTTTTTAAGAGATTGGGTCTTGCTCTGTTGCCCAGGCTGGAGTGCGGTGGCATGATCATAGCTCACTGTAAGCCTCAAACTCCTGGGCTCAAGTGATCTCCTGCCTCAGCCTCCCAAGTAGCTGGGACTCCAGGTGCACACCACCATGCCTGGCTTCAGCATTTTAAATATGTTGTTCCATTGATTTCTACCTTCCATGATTTCTGTTGAGAAATCAGCTATTAATCTTATTAAGGATACCTTGTGCTTGTCAAGTCACCTCCTGCTGCTTTTAGGATTTTCTTTTTGTCTTTTGCTTCCAATAGTTTGATTATGATGTGTCTCAGTGTGGATCTTTTTGAGCTTATTCGGCTTGGAATTGATTGGCTTTGGATAAGTAAATCATGTCTTTCTTCAGATTTAGGAAGCTTTGTCCATTATTTATTTAGATAATCACTTTGTCCCTTTCTTTTCTCCCAAGTCTTCCATAATTTATTTGTTGGTATGCATGATGGTGTCCTGCTAGCCTACTAGGCTCTGTTCATTTTTTCTTTATTTTCTTTACTTTCTACTTTTCAGATTCAGTAATTTTAATTGTGCTATCTTCAAGTTCGTTGATTAATTTTTTTCTGTTAAAAACTTTCTGAGCCTCTCTAGTGAATTTTTTATTTCAATTATGTACGTTTCAGCTCCAGAATGTTTGCTTGGTTCCTTTATAAAATGTGTTTCTTTATTTTGTTTATAAATTGTTCTGATTTCCTTCAGTTCTTCATATCTTTCTTTTGCTTTTTGAGCTTATTTAAGACAGTCTGCCTGGGTTTCCTTCTGGCTGGTTTCTGTCAATTATTTTATTATTTTGAATGAATTGTACTTCCCTATTTCTTTATATGCTTTGTGGGGTTTTTGTTGTTGTTACTGTTGAAAACTGCACATTTGACATTATAATGTAATTCTGGAAATCAGATTTTCTTCCTTGTTTTGCTGGGATTTTTTTGTTGTTGTTGTTGAAGGCTAGAATTGGCTGTTTAGTGACATTTCCACACTATTCTGTAGAGACTGTATTCCTTATTGTTTGTGGTCACTGAAGCCTCTGTTCCTCAGATTGTGTTCCACTGTGTTTTGGCAGAGATTTCTTTGGAAGCCTGGAGCTAAGCAAACAAAACAAAACAAAACAGAGCACTTCTCCTAGTTTTTGCATTTAACTCTGTGACTCCAGGTTTGCATTGAGCCAGGTGATCAGTCTGAGGTGAAAGCCGAGAAACTTCTCAGGTCTTTCTGAGCGTGCATCTTGCCCTGGGCTTGTGCATGGCTGTCTTTCCCCTTACACCCACATGCTTTAGAATGTCCTGATCTTCCAAAGAAACTCTCCTGCAGCTTTTCTGGGGGTGCCTGTGGACTTGTTTGTATATCTCAACTTGATCATTTAGCCTAGGTGTTTGTGGGTGTTAGTTTGTGAACAATCTCCCCCATTTTTCTGGCTTAAGGGCCCAAGTTCAGATGTCGTGCCGTGGTCTTCTAGATAGCCTTCAGTCAGGTTAGAACATACCTACACAATTATTTGTGAATAAGGTTGGCTGTGCTCCCTCTAGAACCAGGAACCAGGGACTTTCCCACTGGGAATGCAGGCTGTCAGGCCAGGGAGGCACAGCAAGTACAAGTAAAAATACCACAAACCTTTCCTGTAATTTTGAAGTTGCTAGCTTCTTGATTCAATGTTCACTTGTCTGCTGCCAATCTTTGACTTATTTCCAGAGTCCTGATAATGTTGGTTGTAAGAATAATTGCTGTTTTTTGGAAATGTTTCTGTATGAGAAGTCAGAGCTTCCTACTCTACCAAGTCTGCCCCTGTCTGTACATCTGAATGGTTGTGGTGGAAAGTCACTGACAATTTTCAATATTCAAGGTGTGCGTAAGCACCATCCCTGCAACTGTGAGTCTGTGTAAAAGGGCTTATCACCGCACTACCCATTTAAACAATTGGCGCTGGCTTATGATTCTTCTAATTATATAATAAACAGTGTTAATAAATCTAAATATTCATCCTTATGCCATCTAGAAGTCATCTGGTGGACCACTAGGAGGATGTACATCATGCTTTGGGAAACTCTCTTCTGCCATAAGTACAGATCTTGGCTGGCATTGATAGTTTTCCTTCCCCAGCCCCCTGCTATATTCTAGATCAGGCTACCCCATTGTGTCTGTGGTCACAGCCACATTTACTGGCAGGCACTCCACAACTCAGGAATAGTTTGTGTTCTGAAGCTTTTTGTTATTTTTAAATTGGTGCTTGATCTGGAAACTTTGAAATATGTTATTCATAAGGCTTAGGTTTCTTTTATTTATTTATTTTAATTTTTTATTTTTTCATTATTATACTTTAAGTTTTAGGGTACATGTGCACAATGTGCAGGTTAGTGACATATGTATACATGTGACATGCTGGTGCACTGCACCCACTAACTCGTCATCTAGCATTAGGTATATCTCCCAATGCTATCCCTCCCCCCTCCCCCCACCCCACAACAGGCCCCAGAGTGTGATGTTCCCCTTCCTGTGTCCATGTGTTTTCATTGTTCAATTCCCACCTATGAGTGAGAATATGCGGTGTTTGGTTTTTTGTTCTTGCGATAGTTTACTGAGAATGATGATTTGCAGTTTCATCCATGTCCCTACAAAGGACCTGAGCTCATCATTTTTTATGGCTGCATAGTATTCCATGGTGTATATGTGCCACATTTTCTTAATCCAGTCTATCATTGTTGGACATTAGGGTTGGTTCCAAGTCTTTGCTATTGTGAATAGTGCCGCAATAAACATACTTGTGCATGTGTCTTTATAGCAGCATGATTTATAGTCCTTTGGGTATATCCCCAGTAATGGGATGGCTGGGTCAAATGGTATTTCTAGTTCTAGATCCCTGAGGAATTAATGCCTAGGTTTTCTTCTAGGGTTTTTATGGTTTTAGGTCTAACATTTAAGTCTTTAATCCATCTTGAATTGATTTTTGTATAAGGTGTAAGGAAGGGATCCAGTTTCAGCTTTCTACATATGGCTAGCCAGTTTTCCCTGCACCATTTATTAAATAGGGAATCCTTTCCCCATTGCTTGTTTTTCTCAGGTTTGTCAAAGATCAGATAGTTGTAGATATGCGGCATTATTTCTGAGAGCTCTGTTCTGTTCCATTGATCTATATCTCTGTTTTGGTACCAGTACCATGCTGTTTTGGTTACTGTAGCCTTGTAGTATAGTTTGACGTCAGGTGGCGTGATGCCTCCAGCTTTGTTCTTTTGGCTTAGGAATGACTTGGCGATGCGGGCTCTTTTTTGGTTCCATATGAACTTTAAAGTAGTTTTTTCCAATTCTGTGAAGAAAGTCATTGGTAGCTTGATGGGGATGGCATTGAATCTATAAATTACCTTGGGCAGTGTGGCCATTTTCACGATATTGATTCTTCCTACCCATGAGCATGGAATGTTCTTCCATTTGTATCCTCTTTAATTTCATTGAGCAGTGGTTTGTAGTTCTCCTTGAAGAGACCCTTCACGTCCGTTGTAAGGTGGATTCCTAAGTGTTTTATTCTCTTTGTAGCAATTGTGAATGGGAGTTCACTCATGATTTGGCTCTCTGTTTGTCTGTTATTGGTGTATAAGAATGCTTGTGATTTTTGTACATTGATTTTGTATCCTGAGACTTTGCTGAAGTTGCTTATCAGCTTAAGGAGATTTTGGGCTGAGATGATGGGGTTTTCTAGATATACAATCATGTCATCTGCAAACAGGGACAATTTGACTTCCTCTTTTCCTAATTGAATACCCTTTATTTCCTTCTCCTGCCTAATTGCCCTGGCCAGAACTTCCAACACTATGTTGAATAGGAGTGGTGAGAGAGGGCATCCCTGTCTTGTGCCAGTTTTCAAAGGGAATGCTTCCAGTTTTTGTCCATTCAGTATGTTATTGGCTGTGGGTTTGTCATAGATAGCTCTTATTATTTTGAGATAAGTCCCATCAATACCTAATTTATTGAGAGTTTTTAGCATGAAGCATTGTTGAGTTTTGTCAAAGGCCTTTTCTGCATCTATTGAGATAATCATGTGGTTTTTGTCTTTGGCTCTGTTTATATGCTGGATTACATTTATTGATTTGCGTATATTGAACCAGTCTTGCATCCCAGGGATGAAGCCCACTTGATCATGGTGAATAAGCTTTTTGATGTGCTGCTGGATTCGTTTTGCCAGTATTTTATTGAGGATTTTTGCATCAATGTTCATCAAGGATATTGGTCTAAAATTCTCTTTTTTGGTTGTGTCTCTGCCTGGCTTTGGTATCAGAATGATGCTGGCCTCATAAAATGAGTTAGGGAGGATTCCCTCTTTTTCTACTGATTGGAATAGTTTCAGAAGGAATGGTACCAGTTCCTCCTTGTACCTCTGGTAGAATTCGGCTGTGAATCCATCTGGTCCTGGACTCTTTTTGGTTGGTAAGCTATTGATTATTGCCACAATTTCAGATCCTGTTATTGGTCTATTCAGAGATTCAACTTCTTCCTGGTTTAGTCTTGGGAGAGTGTATGTGTTGAGGAATTTATCCATTTCTTCTAGATTTTCTAGTTTATTTGCGTAGAGGTGTTTGTAGTATTCTCTGATGGTAGTTTGTATTTCTGTGGGATCAGTGGTGATATCCCCTTTATCATTTTTTATTGCGTCTATTTGATTCTTCTTTTTTTCTTTATTAGTCTTGCTAGCAGTCTATCAATTTTGTTGATCCTTTCAAAAAACCAGCTCCTGGATTCATTAATTTTTTGAAGGGTTTTTTGTGTCTCTATTTCCTTCAGTTCTGCTCTGATTTTAGTTATTTCTTGCCTTCTGCTAGCTTTTGAATGTGTTTGCTCTTGCTTTTCTAGTTCTTTTAATTGTGATGTTAGAGTGTCAATTTTGGATCTTTCCTGCTTTCTCTTGTGGGCATTTAGTGCTATAAATTTCCCTCTACACACTGCTTTGAATGCGTCCCAGAGATTCTGGTATGTTGTGTCTTTGTTCTCGTTGG
Organism: Homo sapiens; assembly: GCF_000001405.40. Taxonomy (NCBI): domain Eukaryota; kingdom Metazoa; phylum Chordata; class Mammalia; order Primates; family Hominidae; genus Homo; species Homo sapiens. The sequence continues at coordinate 4,833,289 of NC_000006.12, forward strand.
TTTCAAAGAACATCTTTATTTCTGCCTTCATTTCGTTATGTCCCCAGTAGTCATTCAGGAGCAGGTTGTTCAGTTTCCATGTAGTTGAGTGGTTTTGAGTGAGTTTCTTAATCCTGAGTTCTAGTTTGATTGCACTGTGGTCTGAGAGATAGTTTGTTACAATTTCTGTTCTTTTACATTTGCTGAGGAGAGCTTTACTTCCAAGTATGTGGTCAATTTTGGAATAGGTGTGGTGTGGTGCTGAAAAAAATGTATATTCTGTTGATTTGGGGTGGAGAGTTCTGTAGATGTCTATTAGGTCTGCTTGGTGCAGAGCTGAGTTCAATTCCTGGGTATCCTTGTTGACTTTCTGTCTTGTTGATCTGTCTAATGTTGACAGTGGGGTATTAAAGTCTCCCATTATTATTGTGTGGGAGTCTAAGTCTCTTTTTAGATCACTCAGGACTTGCTTTATGAATCTGGGTGCTCCTGTATTGGGTGCATATATATTTAGGATAGTTAGCTCTTCTTGTTGAATTGATCCCTTTACCATTATGTAATGGCCTTCTTTGTCTCCTTTGATCTTTGTTGGTTTAAAGTCTGTTTTATCCGAGACTAGGATTGCAACCCCTGCCTTTTTTTGTTTTCCATTTGCTTGGTAGATCTTCCTCCATCCTTTTATTTTGAGCCTATGTGTGTCTCTGCATGTGAGATGGGTTTCCTGAATACAACACACTGATGGGTCTTGACTCTTTATCCAATTTGCCAGTCTGTGTCTTTTAATTGGAGCATTTAGTCCATTTACATTTAAAGTTAATATTGTTATGTGTGAATTTGATCCTGTCATTATGATGTTAGCTGGTTATTTTGCTCATTAGTTGATGCAGTTTCTTCCTAGTCTTGATGGTCTTTACATTTTGGCATGATTTTGCAGCGGCTGGTACCAGTTGTTCCTTTCCATGTTTAGTGCTTCTTTCAGGAGCTCTTTTAGGACAGGCCTGGTGGTGACAAAATCTCTCAGCATTTGCTTGTCTGTAAAGTATTTTATTTCTCCTTCACTTATGAAGCTTAGTTTGGCTGGATATGAAATTCTGGGTTGAAAATTCTTTTCTTTAAGAATGTTGAATATTGGCCCCCACTCTCTTCTGGCTTGTAGAGTTTCTGCCGAGAGATCCGCTGTTAGTCTGATGGGCTTCCCTTTGTGGGTAACCCGACCTTTCTCTCTGGCTGCCCTTAACATTTTTTCCTTCATTTCAACTTTGGTGAATCTGACAATTATGTGTCTTGGAGTTGCTCTTCTCGAGGAGTATCTTTGTGGCGTTCTCTGTATTTCCTGAATCTGAATGTTGGCCTGCCTTGCTAGATTGGGGAAGTTCTCCTGGATAATATCCTGCAGAGTGTTTTCCAACTTGATTCCATTCTCCCTGTCACTTTCAGGTACACCAGTCAGACGTAGATTTGGTCTTTTCACATAGTCCCATATTTCTTGGAGGCTTTGTTCATTTCTTTTTATTTTTTTTTCTCTAAACTTCCTTTCTCGCTTCATTTCATTCATTTCATCTTCCATCGCTGATACCCTTTCTTCCAGTTGATCACATCGGCTCCTGAGGCTTCTGTATTCTTCACGTAGTTCTCGAGCCTTGGCTTTCAGCTCCATCAGCCCCTTTAAGCACTTCTCTGTATTGGTTATTCTAGTTATACATTCGTCTAAATTTTTTTTGAAGTTTTTAACTTCTTTGCCTTTGGTTTGAATTTCCTCCTGTAGCTCGTAGTTTGATCGTCTGAAGCCTTCTTTTCTCAACTCGTCAAAGTCATTCTCCGTCCAGCTTTGTTCCATTGCTGGTGAGGAACTGCGATCCTTTGGAGGAGGAGAGGTGCTCTGCTTTTTAGAGTTTCCAGTTTTTGTGCTCTGTTTTTTCCCCATCTTTGTGGTTTTATCTACTTTTGGACTTTGATGATGGTGATATACAGATGGGTTTTTGGTGTGGATGTCCTTTCTGTTTGTTAGTTTTCTTTCTAACAGACAGGACCCTCAGCTGCAGGTCTGTTGGAGTTTGCTAGAGGTCCACTCCAGACCCTGTTTGCCTGGGTATCAGCAGTGGTGTCTGCAGAACAGTGGTTTATCATGAACCACGAATGCTGCTGTCTGATCGTTCCCCTGGAAGTTTTGTCTCAGAGGAGTACCCGGCCATGTGAGATGTCAGTCCGCCCCTACTGGGGAGTGCCTCCCAGTTAGGCTGCTCAGGGGTCAGGGGTCAGGGACCCACTTGAGGAGGCAGTCTGCCAGTTCTCAGATCTCCAGCTGCGTGCTGGGAGAACCACTGCTCTCTTCAAAGCTGTCAGACAGGGACATTTAAGTCTGCAGAGCTTACTGCTGTCTTTTTGTTTGTCTGTGCCCTGCCCCCAGAGGTGGAGCCTACAGAGGCAGGCAGGCAATCCTCCTTGAGCTGTGGTGGGCTCCACCCAGTTGGAGCTTCCAGGCTGCTTTGTTTACCTAAGCAAGCCTGGGCACTGGCCGGCGTCCCTCTCCCAGCCTCGTTGCCGCCTTGCAGTTTGATCTCAGACTGCTGTGCTAGCAGTCAGCGAGACTCCGTGGGCGCAGGACCCTCCGAGCCAGGTGCGGGATATAATCTCCTGGTGCGCCATTTTTTAAGCCCGTCAGAAAAGCGCAGTATTCGGGTGGGAGTGACCCAATTTTCCAGGTGCCGTCTGTCACCCCTTTCTTTGACTAGGAAAGGGAACTCCCTGACCCCTTGCACTTCCTGAGTGAGGCAATGCCTCGCCCTGCTTCGGCTTGCGCACGGTGCGCTGCACCCACTGACCTGTGCCCACTGTCTGGCACTCCCTAGTGAGATGAACCTGGTACCTCAGATGGAAATGCTGAAATCACCTGTCTTCTGCGTCGCTCACGCTGGGAGCTGTAGACCGGAGCTGTTCCTATTCGGCCATCTTGGCTCCTCCCCAAGGCTTAGGTTTCTAAGTCAGCCACAAATGCTACCCAAAACTACATAAAGAAGAAAAAAGTTGCATAGAACCAAAAAGTGAGTTTTAATTATTTATTTTATACGTGTGCTTTCAGAATTCCAACCCCCTAGAGGAGTTGGGATTTTAAACCAGTGTGATACATTTTCTGTTTGCTTCAGTTTACTTTTTATTTTTTTCCTTTCCCTTATGGGTTCTGGGAATTGAGACTTCGGCTTTCCTTCCTGTGATACCACTTGCCACTGTGTGTCCATTCGAGAGCATGGCTCTCACCAGCCTCTCCCCTCTCCTGTTTTTGCAGTCAGTACTTTGTCCTTCTAAAGTCCTTTAAAAGATTGCTCATTAGAATATTTTTAAAATCTGTTAGCAATAGATAATTACAGCCTTATTTCTATGCTGACCACCATGCAGCAAGGAAAAATGTGCAAAGGAAAAGAGGCAGAAAAGAACTGTTTATATTGAATTTAGGGGCTGTTTCAGGCCTTGGTATGCTGGTCTCTAGTGTGGCTGAAGGAAAAAATGCTGGGACTGAGTGCGAGGAAGGGCAGTGAGTACATTTCTGATTCTGGCACCTTGATGGAGATGGTCCTATCACTTGTAGACCTTGCGCCTGGTTACAGAATTGGGGATACAGAAGTTTGATGGAACAAAATGGAATTATGTGAGTGCCCTGGAATGGAGTGATGGGTGTGGGTGCAGGTATGTGTGTCTGCTCCCACCTCTGCTGGGTGGAAGTCTCTCTCATGAGAGTGAGGGCAGCAGTGGTGTTCACCTGTATATCCCCAGTACCTCGTACAGTGCCTTATACATAGCAGACACTCTCTTGCTGAATAAATGAGGATCCAGATAAGATAGGTCAATCATTGTTAAAGGCATAGACCTGAGTCAGTGGGTATTACATGTTCAGGGATATGAATTGGCAATTTGTTTTATTTTACTAATTTGCTTCTGTGTACATTCCTCACAGTGTTACAACTTGAGTGACAATATAATTTATCATTCAAATGGAGGCACATGAAAGCAAAAGGAGGACTGAAAATTGTTATACAATCTTTTGGAATTTTTTTTGACCAATACATTTGTTGTAGTGATAGACATAAAGTAGTTTTATTAAAAAAATTTTCAAAAAATTATGAAGTAAACGTCAGTGCGTTACAATAAAGGGATCACCTGTACATTACAAAAATTAGTAAATACTCTTTTTTTTGTTGTCGTTGTTTTTTTTTTTTTTTGGAGACAGAGTCTTGCTCTGTCGCCCAGGCTGGAGTGCAGTGGCACGATCTTGGCTCAGTGCAACCTCCACCTCCCGGGTTCAAGCGATTCTCCTGCCTCAGCCTCATGAGTTTCTGGGATTACAGGCGAGTGTTACCATGCCTGGCTAATTTTTGTATTTTTAGTAGAGACGAGGTTTCATCATGTTGGTCAGGCTGCTCTCGAACTCCTGACCTCGTGATCCACCCACCTCAGCCTCCCAAAGTGCTGGGCTTACAGGCACATGAGCCACCGCGCCCGGCCTCTTATTTTTTCTTTTCCCGTTGGTTTAAGACAGAGTCTTGCTCTGTCGCCCAGGCTGGAGTGCAGTGGCATGCACATGGCTCACTGCAGCCTCTGCCTCCCAGGCTCAAGTGATCCCAATACCTCATCCTCTCCAGTATCTAGGACTACAGGCGTGCACCAACAAACCCAGCTAATTTTTTTTTTTTTTTTAAATAGAGATGGGGTTTTGCCATGTTACCCAGGCTCATCTCGAACTCCTGGGCTCAAGCAATCCGCTTTCCTCATCCTTCAAAAGTGCTGAGATTACACTTGTGAGCTATCACACCAGGCTGTAAATATTCTTGATACATTTTTATCATGTATCTATTGTAATGCCTTGTGACTCTTTAAAAGTTTTTCGGTATGTCTTTTTATTTTTTTATTTTAATAGGTCTTTTGGGAACAGGTGGTGTTTGGTTACATGAATAAGTTCCTTAGTGGTGATTTCTGAGATTTTGGTGCACCCATCACCCGAGCAGTGTACACTGTACTCAATGTGTCGTCTTTTATCCCTCACCCCCCTCCCACCCTTTCCCCCAAGCCTCAAAGTCCATTGTATCATTATGCCTTTGCATCTTCATAGCTTAGCTCCCAGTTATGAGTGAGAACTTAGGATGTTTGGTTTTCCATTCCTGAGTTACTTCATTTAGAATAATGATCTCCAGTTCCATCCAGGTTGCTGCAAATGCCATTATTTCATTTCTTTTTATGGTTGAGAGTATTCTATGGTATATATACACCACAGTTTCTTTATATACTTGTTGACTGATAAGTATTTGGCTGGTTCCATGTTTTTGCAATTGCAAATATAAACGTGTGTGCAAGTGTCTTTTTCATATAATGACTTCTTTTCCTCTGGGAAGATACCCAGTAGTGGGATTGCTGGATCAGATGGTAGTTTTAGTTCCTTTTTTTTTTTGAGACAGAGTCTCCCTCTGTCACCCAGGCTGGGGTGCAGTGGTGCCATCTCAGCTCAATGCAGCCTCCACCTCCCGGGTTCAAGCGATTCTCCTGCCTCAGCCTCGTGAGTTTCTGGGATTACAGGTGAGTGTTACCACACCTGGCTAATTTTTGTATTTTTAGTAGAGACGGGGTTTCACCATGTTGGCCAGGCTGGTCTTGAACTCCTGACCTCATGATCCTCCCGCCTCGGCCTTGGGATTACAGGCGTGAGCCACCACTCCCGGCCTTACTTTTAGTTCTTTAAGGAATCCTCACACTATTTTCCATAGCAGCTGTACTAGTTCACATTCCTGCCAGCAGTGTGTTTCCTTTTTTTACCACATCCACACCAACTTCTATTATTTTTTGATTTTTCGATTATGACCATCTTGCAGGAGTGAGGTGGTATCGCATTGTGGTTTTGATTTGTATTTCCCTGATCATTAGTGATGTTGAGCATTTTTTCATGTTTGTTGGCCATTTGTATATCTTCTTTTGAGAATTGTCTGTTCATGTCCTTAGTCCCACTTTTTGATGTGATTGTTTTTTTCTTGCTGATTTGTCTGAGTCATTTGTAGATTCTGGATGTTAGTTATTTGTCAGATGTATAGATTGCAAAGATTTTCTCCCACTCTGTGGGTTGTCTGTTTACTCTGCTGATTGTTTATTTTGCTTTACAGAAGCTTTTTAGTTGAATTAAGTCCCATCTATTTATCTTTGTTTTTGTTGCATTTGCTTTTGGGTTCTTGGTCATGAAGTCTTTGTGTAAGCCATTGTCTCAAAGGGTTTTTCTGATGTTATCTTCTAGAATTTTTATGGTTTCAGTCTTAGATTTAAGTGTTTGATCCATCTTGAGTTGATTTTTGTTTAAGATGAGAGATGAGGATCCAGTTTCATTCTCCTACATGTGGCTTGCCAATTATCCCAGCACCATTTGTTAAATAAGGTGTCCTTTCCCCACTTTATCTTTTTGTTTGCTTTGTTGAAGATCAGTTGGCTGTAAGTATTTGACTTTATTTTTGGGTTCTTTATTCTGTTCCATTGGTCTATGTGCTTATTTTTATACCAGTACCATGCTGTTTTGGTGACTATGGCCTGGTAGTATAGTTTGAAGTTGGGTAATGTGATTCCTCCAGATTTGTTCTTTTTGCTTAGTCTTGCTTTGGTTATGTGGGCAGTTTTTTGGTTCCATATGAATTTTAGGATTTTTTTTCTAGTTCTGTGAAGAATGATGGTGGTGTTTTGATGGGAATTGCATTGAATTTGTAGATTGTTTTTGACAGTATGGCCATTTTCACAATATTGATTCTACCTCTCCATGGGCATGGGATGTGTTTCCATTTGATTGTGTCATCTATGATTTCTTTCAGCAGTGTTTTGTAGTTTTTCTTGTAGAGGTCTTTCACCTCCTTAGATCCACTCCTAAGCATTTTTTTTTCAACTATTTTTAAAGGGGTTGAGTTCTTGATTTGAGTCTCACCTTGGTTGTTGTTGGTGTATAGCAGAGCTACTGATTTGTGTACATTAGCTTTGTATCCTGGAACTTTGCTGAATTTATCAGTTCTAGGAGCTTTTTGGAAGAATCTTTAGGAGTTTCTTGGTATATGATCATGTCATCAGCAAACGGTGACGGTTTGACTTCCTCTTTACTGATTTGGATGGCCTTTCTTTCTTTCTTTTGTTTGATTGCTCTGGCTATGACTTGCAGTATGTTGAATAGAAATGGTGAGAGTGGGCATCCTCGTCTTGTTCCAGTTCTCAGGGGAATGCTTTCAACTTTTCACCATTCAGTGTTATGTTGGCTTTGGGTATGTCATAGATGGCTTTTATTAAAGTTATGTCCCTTCTATGCTGATTTTGCTGAGGGTTTTAATCGTAAAGGGGTGCTGGATTTTGTCAAATGCTTTTTCTGCTCTATTGAGATGATCATGTGATTTTTATATTTTTAATTGTGTTTATGTGATGACAACATTGACTTGCGTATTTTAAACCATCCCTGCATCCTGATATGAAACCCACTTGATCATGGTGGGTTATCTTTTTGAAGTGTTGTTGGATTCAGTTTGCTAGTATTTTGTTAAGGATTTTTGCATCTATATTCATCAGCGATTTTTTTGTTTTGTTATGTTTTTGTTTGTTTTTTGTTTTGTTTTTTTGTTACATCCTTTCCTGGTTTTGGTATTAGAGTGACACTGGCTTCATAGAATGATTTAGGAAGGATTCCCTCTTTATCTTGTGGAATAGTGTCAATAGGATTGGTACCAATTTTTCCTTAAATGTCTGATAAAATTCAGCTGTGAATCCATCAGGTCCTGGACTTTTTTTTGTTGGCAACTTTTAAATTACCATTTCAGTGTCACTGTTTGTTATTGGTCTGTTCAGAGTTTCTGTTTCTTCCTGGTTTAGTCTAGGCGGGTTGTATATTTCCAGGAATGTGTCCATTTCCTCTAGGTTTTTTAGTTTATGTGCATAAAGGTGTTCGTAGTTGGCTTGAATAAACTTTTGTATTTCTGTGGTATCAGTTGTGGTATCTCCTGTGTGAATTCTAGTTGAGAGTTTTGGATCTTCTCCTTGTCTTGGTTAATCTCACTAATTTTATTTATCTTTTGAAAGAACCAGCTTTTTGTTTCATTTACCTTTTGTATTTATTTTTTGTTGGAATTTCATTTAGTTCTGTTTTGATCTTTGTTATTTCTTCTGCTGGGTTTGGGTTTGGTTTGTTCTTGTTTTTATGATTCCTTGAGATGTGACCTTAGATTGTCTATTTGTTCTCTTTCAGACTTTTCAGTGTTAGGCGTTTAAGCATATGAACTTTCCACTTAGCATTGCCTTTGCTGTATCCCAGAAGTTTTGCTAGGTTGTGTCACTATTATCGTTCAGTTCAAAGAATTTTAAAATTTCCGTCTTGATTTCATTGTTGCCTGAGTGATCATTCAGGAGCAGGTTATTTAATTTTTATGTTTTTGCCTGGTTTTGAGGGTTCCTTTTTGGAGTTGATTTCCAATTTTATTCCACTGTGGTCTGAAAGAGTACCTGACATAGTTTAGATTTTCTTAAATTTACTGAACCTTGTTTTGTGGCCTATCATATGGGCTATCTTGGAGAATGTTCCATGTGCTGATTAATAGAATGTATATTCTGCAGTTGTTGGATAAAATGTTCTATAAATATCTGTTAAATCCTTTTGTTATAAGTTATAGTTTAAGTCCATTGTTTCTTTGTTGACTTTATATTAATATTATATTAATATTAATAATAAATTATTAATATAAATAAATTAATTATATTTGTATTATTTGTAATATATAATTTATATATATTATATTAATATTCATATTTATTTATATATAATTATATATTATTTATATCATATATTTATATTATTTATATATAAACTTGTTAATATAAAATTATATTACTTATATATTATAAATATATTATATTATATAATAAATTATTAATATAAATAATATAAATAATAATATATAATTATATATAAATAATACTAATATTAATATAAATAAAAATAAATATTAATATAAATATCTGTTAAGTCCTTTTGTTATAAGTTACAGTCCATTGTTTCTTCGTTGACTTTCTGTCTTGATGACCTGTCTAGTGCTGTCAGCAGAGTATTAAAGTCCCCCACTATATATTATTATTGTGTTGCTATCTCATTTCTTAGGTCTAGTAGTAATTGTTTTATATGTTTAGGAGCTGTGGTGTTAGGTGCGTATATATTTAGGATTGTGATATTTTTCTGTTGGACTAGTCCTTTTATCATTATATAATGCCCCTCTTTGTCTTCTTTATCTACTGTTGCTTTAACATTTGTTTTTTCTGATATAAGAATAGCTACTCCTGCTTGCTTTTTGTGTCCTCTTGCACGGAATGTCTGTTTCACCCGTTTACCTTAAGTTTATGTGAGTACTTATGTGTTAGGTGAGCCTCTTCACAACAGATACTAGGTGAATTCTTATCCATTCTGCCATTCTGTTCTCTTTCCAGTGGAGGTATTTCAGTTACTATTGAGATGCTAGGTATTATTCTATTCATTGTGCTATGAATACACAACATGGGAACGAATATGAAAACCCTTGTGGGTTTTTTTTTCCATTATGTTATTGCTATATAGTTCCTGTGAGATTTATGCTTTAAGGAGGTTCTATTTTGGTGTATGTCAAGGATTTGTTTCAAGATTTATATCTCCTTTTAGCAGTTTTTGTTTCAAGATTTATATCTCCTTTTAGCAGTTATTGTAGCGCTGGCTTGGTATTGGCAGATTCTCTCAGTATTTGTCTTAAAAAGACGGTATCTTTTCATCATTTATGAAGTTTAGTTTTGCTGGATATAAAATTCTTGGCTTATAATTGTTTTGTTTAAGGAGGCTAAGGATAGCCCTCCCCACCCCAACCCCTAGTCCCTTCTAGCTTGTAGGGTTTCTGCTGAGAAATCTGCTGTTAATCTGTTAGGTTTTCCTTTATAGGTTACCTGGTGCTTTTGCCTCACAGCTCTTAAGATTCTTTTCCTTCATCTTAACTTTAGATAACCTGATGACAGCGTGCCTAAGTGATGATCTTTTTGCAATAAATTTCCCAGGTGTTCTTTGAGCTTCTCGTATTTGGATGTCTAGATCTCTGTCTAGCAAGGCCGGGGAAGTTTTCCTCAATTATTCCCTCAATATGTTTTTCAAACTTTTAGATTTCTCTTCTTCCTCAGTAACACCATTTATTCTTAGGATTGGCCATTTAACATAATCCCCAACTTCTCAGAGGCTTTTTCTTTTTTTTTTTTTTTAATTCTTTTTTTGTCTTTGTTGGATTGGGTTAATTCGAAAGCCTTGTCTTTAAGCTCTGAAGTTCTTTATTCTACTTGTTTGATTCTGTTGCTTAGACTTCTGAGAGTATTTTGCATTTCTCTAAGTGTGTTTTTCATTTCCATAAGTCGTGATTATTTTTTATTTATGCTATTTATTTCACTGAAGATTTTCTCCTTCCTATCTTGTATCATTTTTATGGTTTTATTAAGTTGGACTTTACCATTCTCTGGTGCCTCCTTGATTAGCTTAATAATCGACCTGCTGAATTCTTTTTGTGGCAATTCAGAGATTTCTTCTTGTTTTGAATCCATTGCTGTTGAGGTAGTGTGATCTTTTGGTGTTGTTAAAGAACCTTGTTTTGTTGTATGACCCAGAATTGCTTTTCTGGTTCTTTCTCATTTGGGTATACTATGTCAGAGGGAAGATCTGGGGCCCAAAGGCTGCTATTCAGATTCTTTTGTCCCATGGGGTGCTCCCTTGATGTGATACTCTCTCCCTTCCCCTGGGGATGTGGCTTTCTGAGAGCCAAACCGTGGTGATTGTTTTTTCTCTTCCGGATCTAGTCACCCTGCAGAGATACCGGGCTCTGGGCTGGTACTCGGGAGTGTCTGCACAGAGTCCTGTGATGTGAACCATCTTCAGGTCTCTCAACTGTAGATACCAGCACCTGAGCGTGCTTAATTGTGGTTTGGTTTTGTTCATTGTTACTAGTTTTGTGTTGGTTGGCCTCCAGCCAGTAGGTGGCGCTGTCAAGAGAGCATCAGCTGTGGTAGTATAGGGAGGATCAGGTGGTGTGGGGGCCCTAGAGCTCCCGGGAGATTATGTCCTTTGTCTTTGGAGTTTTTCAGCTGTCCCCTGGGGCCTGCAGCAGCAATCTGCTTCCTTCAGAGGGTTTGTGGATTCTCTTGGCTTTCCTGGTACGTTCCTGCCGTAGTTCTTGGAGCAAAAGTTAAGGAGGTGAGTCCCCACACGCTGCTCTGTCCGTCCGAGTGGGAGCTGCAAATTAGTCCTGCCTTTCTGTCTGCCATTTTCCTTGTGACTCTGAAGAATATTTTTCCCCCAACATGGGTTTGTTTCTGAGATTCTCATAAAAGTACATACTTCTTAAAAGTTGCATTTTCAGTTAGTACATTTGAGATTGTTGACATTTGGATTTTATTCTTCTGTAAGCCATCATTTTATTATTGAAAAAGTTTATTTGTGCTGAGGTAAGGTAGCTTATGAGTTCAGAGCAACTAGTGCTAAAGGAAGGCTATTTTGTTGTTTTTTTAATGAGATGTGAAGTATTATAGCTCAAATATTTTCATAAGAACTGTCTAAACCTCTATTTAGAATACCTATATTCAACAAATAATTTTGCAAGACAAAAAAGTTGTCAAATAAATTGCCTTTTTCATTCTTTTGAATCTTTTGCTAAATTTAGATGCTGTAAAATGTTGTTTTTATCCAATCAAAAATAGAAGGGCCATGAAATTATTCTTTCTACAATTTGAGATACTCCAAAGTGCACTTACTGAATTTCAAAATTATTGTACATTGCTCTATATATTCCATTTTTGTCTGTCACTTGATATTTTTAGAGGTTAATTTCACTGCATGCTTACTTGCAAACTTTGATTTCAACAATTGCAGTTTGCCAAAAGGTTCAAAAGCTGACTTTTCAAAAGACAGTTGTTTGTTGAAAGTTTTGATCAAAATTTCCAGCTGATTTTGAACAAAAGGTAACCCAATCTTAGAGGTCTCACCAAAACAAAACAAAACAAAAGGTTCCAAGTCATTTTGCGATGCCTGGATTGGTTTTCAAAGTAGTTTTTTGAAGGCTAAATGAGTTGAGTGCCAAAGAGAATGGGTACTGCCATGATGAAGTATTCTTAACTTTAGTTTAATTTGTTCTTCGTTATTGTGTATATGAAAACCTGTATTTGTATTAAAATCAGAATAACAAATAGTGTTCCTCATTGAGCTTTTACGATATTATTAACAGTAGTGTTTAACCTTTTAAGGCAGGATTCAGCAAACCTTTTCTGTAAGGGGTCAGACAATAAATATTTTACGCTTTCTTGGCCACAGCTATCTATTGCAACTCAACTTCTGCCTTGGTAGCCTTAAAGTAGCTATAGACAGTATGCAAACAAATGAGTGTGGCTATATACCAATACAACTTTATTTATGGAGACTGAAATATGAATTTTGTATACTTTTCATATATCACAAAGCATCAACTTTTGATCTTTTTCCAACCGCTGAAAACGTAAAAACCATTCTTACTTTGCAGGCCATGCCGAAACAGGTGGCAGGGTGGATTTGGCCCGCAGACCAATTTGTTGACCCTTGTTCCACGAGTTGAATGAAAAAAATAGAACTACTAACGGAACTGATCTCCTATTTGAAAACTGGCACAATCTAATTGCCTGTAAAGTTCTTCCAAGCTAAAGGAGCCAATATTTAACTGCTATTATGTATGTGTTTAATGTTCAGGAGAACATTTAGGGGAAAAATTGGCTTAATTATGTTAGAACAGTCATTTGATCTAAATGAACAGTCATACTTTAGAAAGAAATGTGAATACTACAATTTTATAAATGCAAATTCTGCGATTGCACCTAAGAATTAGTTGTCTTTGGGTACTGCCTTCTTAAAAAAAAAAAAAAAAGGTGGATATGGCTATTTTTTCAGATGTTGTCTGGTTTTCATGTGCCCACTGATAGCACCCCAACCCCACAGGGTGCACGGCAAATGTGGAGACATGTGCAAATTACTATTTACTATTAACTTTCTTGAGAAACGGAAATGTAGTACTTATTAAATCTGCATTTTTATTTTTTAGTTCATTGCTCCTAGAATGGCTTGTAAAATACAAACAATCAAAACAATAAAATAGTTGTGGATTTACACTATACATGACAAAATCATTATAATACAAGCTGTCAGACTAATATTCTATGTAATTGCTTCCCATGTGATGCCAGCATGCTTTCTTCCGTCAGAGTGCTGGAGAGGGAGCTGTTAGTTATCTTGGACCTGGAAAGGGCCCAGAAAATAGGTGATTTATTCCTGGTTGACTTTCAGAGTTAACAACACATTGAAGTGTGAACTCTGTTCGCTGTATGTGTGTCTTGCATGCTACTAGATGAGATGGTGACAGAAGCAAGACATAGAAAAAATAGGTTATTTATTAAACTCAAACTGGCTTATTTTAATGCAATAGTGAATCATAATATTTAATTAAAAATGAAAAATACAAAGACAAAACCAGATTGGACATTGAGACAGCAGTTGTAAGCCAAGACTGTTTTAGGCAAACCAAGACATATGGTTGTCCTATTTAAATCCATAAAATTAAACTTTTCTGTAATTTGGATAGTTCTACTCTTTCCTTTTCCCATTTTGGTCAGCAAAGTAGCCCCCTATTAGGTTTCTGCAGTAGTCTCAGATCCACTTAGATCTGTGATCCCCCCATTCTTATTCTGCACACTACGTTTACACAGCCCTGCTGTGTGAACTAATGAGACCCAGTTACAGTCATGTCTATCTGCTGCTTAAAACCCAGCATGGACCACCCAGGAATGCCACCAGTGGCCCTCTAACTATTGCGTGCACCAAAATCATCAGTGTGTGAGGGTAGTTGCAAATTTCTGGTTCCCTCCTAGAGATTGGTATTCAGTAAGTCTTGGGAAAGCCCTGGTGCATCAAAGTTGAGTCTCTGTGCATCTCATTACTTTGTCACTTGCCGCCCCCATCCGTCCCTGTCTCATGGTCCACCCAGCTGTTGTAGGTCCCCAGTGTCCTGTTTAGTGGACCTGTCTGTCTTTTTCCCCACATTCTTTCAGCAGCTAAGGAGCTGCTGTTGTACATCTTTCTGTTGAAATTAAATTTATTGCTCTTTGATTCCATTTTTCTCTAGCTGAGCATCTTGTGTGATAGCAGGGTCTAGGTCTCAGATCATCTGTATTCTTAACCTGATGCCTGAAACTTGTAGTTACTGTTGAGTGATGGTATAAGATTCAAGTTAACAGTCTTTCCATTGTTTCTCTTGTCATGAACTGAAGGTTCAGTGAATTAAAGTAGGATTTGTGTAGTCACTTCATTGTATGTATCAAGTTCTGCCTTTAAAACTTCAGTTTTCTCCAGGATCAATCAGTGTGGTAATTTCAAATTTCATACTTTAAAAATTGAGCTTTAGAACGGGCAAAAATGCCTCCTAAACATTTACAACTTCTGCTGTCTTTTGAATTAAAATAAAAACTGTGTCTCCCTACAGCCAAGGTAGGGCTCAACAAACGAAAGCTGAAAGGTGCTGGAAGCCTCCTGCACTTTGGGAATATACAGTCAGGAACAATTGTCAGGAGTTCTGTAGTTGATTCTGTAGGTTGGGATTGCCATAAGGTTGGTTAGAAAAAAGATGTGCGAAAGCTTTCCTGAGGGTTTTTGCCCTTGCTTTCACATGTCCCATAATTGAAATTAAGAACTGCTGGCAACTGGTTAGTGACCAGTGTTGAAATGGGAAAATATTACTGGCTTATGCTTTTGCTTATAGATATTGAAATTTAATAAAATTTAACCATAGTTACATATGATTCTATGAAATTAGGTAGGCTCTTCAAGAAAAATGTGAGCAATGTAAGGCAGGGTATTTTTGGGAGGGGGGTGCTTTATTGTATAGGCAAGCTCTCGAACAGTGTCTGATAATTAGTAGTGTCTGACAATATTTGCTGAATGAGTGAACTCATGGTAACATAACTCCAGTATGGCAGATTGATTCTTGGTGCTTTTTTTCCAGTGGCAAACTTTTATAGAAATTGGAGAGTTTCGTAAAGACTTTTAAAAAGTTGTCAGAATTACCTATTATGTCCTTTCCTAGATAATCAATTTGGAAACAATTGCTGGTACCTTAAGCCCGATGTATGCCTCCTATTATAGTGTTGAAAATGTTCTTTTGACAAATGCATCAATGACCAGGCACATGAGAACAGTGCACAGCTGTAGAAAAACAACAATGAAGGTCTTCGACACAGGAGAGAGTCTGCACTGCATCACAGCTGATCCGAAAGTTAAATTCAATGAAAAGGCAAATATTTTGGTCAGGAGAGGAATTCTTCCTAGGGAGTATTAGCACAGTGTATTTTTAGTTGTGTGGCTATTTATAGCTGCCCAATGGCTTGCGTCTGAGTCTTTATTTGGTTTTTAGGACATGCTAAGGATTGAGGGTCGTGGGCCTTAATTGTATAGAAGACGCAGTTGCGTTTGGTTGCCTGGAGGCTTCTCTGTGAAGCCTGGTGGGACACCTGCTGGCCAGTTTGGCCCTTCTTAGTGAAGGTGATAGAGACAAGGGCAGAAGGTCATTGTATTTATAGGATATTTGAAGCTTATCTTGTTTACTTTGTTAATAATACTTGAGTCATTTTTCTAAACATTCTTTGCATAACAGCAAAGATTAAAAAGATAAGTAATGTAATATATTAGGCCCTAGTTGTCATTCACCTGTTCTTGTAGAGCTGATACTTTTTTCTTGATCAAATTTTAGGTTTAATCATATTTAGCTTAGAAGAGTGGTCTGTCTTAAGAGTATTCTGATTATTTAGGAACATCTAGATGAAACTTCTTTGCCTTAGTCCATCGTTTCTCCTTTAAATTCCTAAAGGCAGGAATGAGTGTTTCTTAAAACCAACATGTATAAAGCAACATTTTAGGCAAACTGGGATGAGGAAAAACATCTTGAAGGGGGCTTCATAATGGTGTTGGAGCCTGTTAAAAATGTGGAATGGAAAGCCGATCATGAAAACAGATAGTACTGACTTTTGGCAAAATGAGTCTTTATGAAAACATACCTTAATGATTATCTGACAAATGCAAGTGCTTTTTGAGGTTAACAGAATTATAAACAGGAGACTGCAGACACTAAGGTCACTACTGAGCAGCACGATAATTCGTGTGGTGTGTTCTTTTTAAAGATTAACAATCTTAAGTCTTTTGTATGTTATGTTGCTAAGTTATTTGGGGGAAAGTGTTAAAATAAGTGCTCTTACTTTCTTTCTCCACTGCTTTTGCACAAAAACTTTACTGTTCAAAGAATATTGTCCATTCAGTTTACTTTTTATTTTTAAGATGAAGTATCCCCCAAACTGGTCATGCCAGGAAAAAAAAAAAAAAAGTCTCTTCCTTCCAAATTTAAGCATGTCAGAAAATTCTTACTTCTTTTGCACCTGTTAAGTGCCAGGCACTTAAAAGTTCAAGGGACATAGCAGGAAACAGTACTAATGAACTGCCTTCATGAAGCTCACATGTAGACCACAAACACAGAAAGAAAACACAGTGTGTTTGATGGTGAGATGGTGTGACGTGCTCAGGAGAAAACAGGAGGCAGGGAAGGGGATAGAATTGGGGGGAAAGGGTGGGGAGGGAGGGGGGCAGTTCCAGCCCTACCACTAACTAGAGTGGACTAGCTGGGTGACTTCATTTAACTCTGGAACCTGTTTTCTCATGACTGGATTGGCAAAAATATAATACATGTTCAACATACTTCATAGAGTTTTGTGGGTAAGAGGAATATTATTAGTAGTAACAAGGGCCTTATAATTGCACATAGGATAACTGTATTTGCTTACTGAATCTTCATAGTAATGCTTCACGCTAATTGCCAGTATCACAATTCATTCTCTGATTAATTCAGCAAATACTTGTTGAGTGTCTGCTAGGCACGAGGGATATAGCTAGATTTTAGATACACAAAACTCTGTTCTCATTCTGGTTGAGCTATGACTGAAGAGATGTAGTGTCTTATACCTTTCACCGTTGCTGTGTATTTTATCTTTAAATGTTCAGTTTGGTGACTTTTGTCAATTAACTAGAAAAGTCGATGTTTTAGCGAAAAAGTTTATAATTTTAATAGAGCTTGTGGTAGGGAACTCACAGTGGTTTTATTTTCCTATTACTTACTCTTGGGGCTATTTAAACTAGTAATTTTGTTTATTCTATAAGTTTCTTAATTTTAAAAGTATTCATAGAGTTCTTTTCCTTGTAAGAATGCTACTGTATAGCCCTAAAATTTATAATGGTTCAGGAGAACTTTGGATATAATACATTTTGTGATAACAGTGTGGATCAAGAAGTAGAAATGAAATATGCCATTTGATAATTGAAAGCATATAGTTAGATCGTGAAAGCCACGCACTAGAATTTGTCTAAGTTGATGAAATGCTGACTGATGAATAAGGTGAATCTTTCTTCATTTGGGCCAGTAGAATGGAGAGATCCATATAATTTGGATATTTAACAAAAATTTTCAAGTGTTAAAAAATTATTTGAAAAAATGTATAATTTGCATTAGCCAGTACAGAATTCTTAACTAACAAGCAGAAAATCCAGGAGTACTGCTCATTTTTTAAAAGTTTTTGATTACCAGGGGAAATATAATGGCACCGAGGCACATGGCAATGACTAATTAAAACTGAGCACTAGGGTCTGTGGCTCTCGACTGACTAGTATTTGTGATTTAATCATACTGCCCTAAAGATTTGGGCGCTCACTTGGGTGGGCATAGTTATTACAGATTGGCCTACACGTTCCCTTTCAGAGCCAGAGGACATGGACGTCTTATTTAGTAGAAAGTAGTAATCTGGGTCTTCCAACTTTGAGCTCTGTGCTAGTTCTGTAACCTGGGCCAAAGTTACCTTTGGTTTTCCCATCTGTAAAATGGACGTAACAGCAGGGTGGTGAGAATCAAATGAGTTAATTGATGGTAAAGACTTAACCTAGTGCCTGGCATGTAGATATACTAGGTACTTTATTATTATTATCTATCATACAAAGCTGAAGGATTGTCAGAAAAGAATCATGAGTGCTTCACCATGTTGGAGAGCTTCTGGGCTGGCAAATGTTTAACTTTCCCTATAGGTGGTTAGGGGTGAGCTTTTGAGGTCTTCATTGTGGCAGGCGACATCTGGGACAGCTCCTCTCTTGTGGGTGTAGGAAGCTGGAGTCTGGGGGCTCTCTCTGTTTAAAGATCTTTCATGAGTAGAAACAGACGATTTGCTCGGCCGTTTGTGAGGGGATTTTCAGGTGGGCACGAGGACCTGGCTGGAAAGG
Source organism: Homo sapiens (assembly GCF_000001405.40). Taxonomy (NCBI): domain Eukaryota; kingdom Metazoa; phylum Chordata; class Mammalia; order Primates; family Hominidae; genus Homo; species Homo sapiens. The sequence continues at coordinate 4,851,632 of NC_000006.12, forward strand.
AACCACCGTTTAATTCTTCACTGCATTCGCAGACGCATTGCATCCACCAGCACCTTGGTAAAAAGTCTTAACGCAACAATCCCTGATCGTGGCTGTGCACGTAGTCATTCAGGCTTTGTCAGCCTCATGTTAGAAGATGCACATGGCTGTCATTCTTCATGTTTAAACCTGAGAAACTGAACAGTCAAATTTGGGGAATGGTCCAGGACTGAGGAGTGCTGAATCTACCAGCCCCCAGTTGAGGTTCAAATAAGTGGGGGTGATAATGATACTAACCAAAAACAGTGTGGCATTTTACACCCTTTTCTATGTCAGTCCCCTACTTTTATTTATTTCTATAGTGACTTTTTGAAGTAACCAGGCCAGTTGCTTCTTGGTGGTGTGTGTAATTTATTTCTCTTTCCCTTGCTCTTCTGTAAAGCGATGGCTTCCCCTTTGCTCTTAGCAGATAACCTGTTGGGTGACATCTAGGCACCAGGCAGAAATCCCATTTCCCGTTAATGTTTCAACATGTGGATTTAGCATCTACTGATGATCCTTGCTGAATCTTCAGTGGGTGTTACAATTGGAAGATTTTCTAGTCCTGTCGTTCCTTCTGTGGTTACCAGGTGGAACTATTTTGCAAGGAAGAGCTGTCACCAACTGGGGCAAATGATGATTCCTCCTAAAAAGGCAGGGCCAGTCTTCCTTCCTTCCTTCCTTCCCTCCTTCCTTCCTTCCAATCTTCCTTCCTTCCTTCCTCCTTCCTTCCTATCTTCCTTCCTTCCTCCTTCCTTCCTTCCAATCTTCCTTCCTTCCTCCTTCCTTCCTTCCTTCCAATCTTCCTTCCTTCCTTCCAATCTTCCTTCCTTCCTTCCTTCCAATCTTCCTTCCTTCCTTCCAATCTTCCTTCCTTCCTTCCAATCTTCCTTCCTTCCTTCCTTCCTTCCAATCTTCCTTCCTTCCTTCCAATCTTCCTTCCTCCTTCCTTCCTCCTTCCTTCCTTCCTTCCTGTTTAGATTTAAATCAAGTTTACATTTGGTGTAAAATCATTGATTATAAGCAAAGATTTAACATTTTTGTGTGTGTATCATTGTGGGTTTGTGATTTTTATTTGATGATTCAAATACATTATTTTTGTTTGAGTTGTACAATTTTTAGCCAGTGGGAACCCTTTCTCATGGGTTTCTTTGTTCTTTTTTTTTTGAGACAAGGTCTGTCTCTGTCACCCAGGCTGGAGTGCAGTGGCTTAATCACAGCTCACTGCAGCCTCGAGCTCCTGGGTGCAGGTAATCCTCCTGCCTCAGTCATTTGAGTAGCCGGGACCAGCTACCATGCCCAGCTAATATTTTAATTCTTTGTAGAGAAGAAGTCTTGCTTTGTTGCCCAGGCTGGTCTTGAACTCCTGGCCTCAAGTGGTCCTCCTCTTGGGCCTCCCAAAGTGCTGGGATTATAGGCATGAGTCACGGTGCCTAGCTCCTTTGTTCTTTTGACATCTGCCCATACTCCCTCATTAGTCTTTTCCTGCTTTTTGACACAGTAAGGTAGCCAAGGCTCACCTTATACTTCCTCATGCAGTTGATGACAGTAATTCCGTAGCCATTACTGAGCATGTACATTTGTCAGGTACTGGTTTGTACTTTAAAAGAATTACCACATTCAGTTCTCATAACAACCGCGAGGGTAGATATTTTTATTTTTCCCGGTAAAATAGAGGACATCAAAGTTCAGAGAGCTGAAGAAGGTAACATAACTTATCCAAAGCTAAGCTGCTAGATGGCAGAGCCTGCATCTGAATCCAGGACTTCCAACTGCGGAACCTCCAAACCGTTGTTCCTAATCACTGCCAGTTTTGGCAGACCTCTTCCTTCTCTTCCTCCTTCTCCTTCTCATTCCCCTCCTCCTCCCTTCCTCTCCCATTTTTAGTACCAAGGATAGCTCTTAAAGTATCTCTTGAGTCTCTTCTCAGCTTCACTGCTGTCTTGCTTCAGGTGCTGGTTTTTCTTTTAGATTACTGCATCGAGTCCCTGTCTCCTGCCTTTCTTCTCCCAATATCCACATTCCTGTCAGGAATATCTTTTAAAAAGGAAACAAAACAAAACACCAGGCAGCTGTCACCTTTGCGTACAGGATAGAGCCCATCACCGTTTGTGTGGCACACTGGCTCCTCACACCTGTCCCCACACCTGCCCCAGCTTCTCCTGCCATGCCACAGCACACCTGCGTGTGCAGAACAGCATGGCAGGCACCTCTTAGCTGGCCTCGTGTGCTCCCGTGCCTTCGCACACCTTGTTTCTTGCTTCTTGGGATCCTCCTCCCACTTTGTAAAATTTTGTTTTCCCGAAATTCAGCACAGATGGGCTTCTGTGAAGGTGTTGTCCTGATTCTCTGTGCAGAGGTGAGCTCCTGCTCGTGGTGAGTCCCCTTGAAGTGTGTGTACTTTGCACACGTGTCCCTGGGGGTGTAGTTCACTGTGCACACACGGCCTCCTCCAGCAGGGCAGTGACAAAGCTGGGCCTGACTCATCTTCGTAGGCTGCTAGTTCTTTCAGTCAGCAGATAAGGTATTGTTAACCCTCGAGACCTGTGCGAGCACACCAGTGTCTGGCTCTCCTCACTGGAATTGTCGCTTAGATTCTTATGTAATCTGAGTGATGCCGTCTTGCAGGCATGGCTCAGATCCTCTTTAAGATGTTTCCTCAAAACTCAGCATCCGCAGTTCACATCACCCTGTTTATGTTACGCAGTTTCATACTAGTCATGTATTTACCCCATCAGATCACCAAGTTTGCACTTGAGGTTTCTCCCCAGCACAAAGGACTGTGTACACCCCACAGGCTCCCAGTGAGTCATTTTGGTTGGTGAAGTGGTGGAGGCGCTTGGTCACCTGGGAGCTCTGTGTGTGTTTCTTTCAGTGGTGTCTAGAGAGAGGATAAAGACGCCAAGTCTTCTACTATGGCAGGTGTTTTCAAATGGCAAAATGCTACACCACCTGGAATAAAATAACCTCATGACACTACAAGAGGAGAAACAAGGTTCCAAGGCTTGGGGGAAGCATGTGCCGTTGAGGGCACACACACCTAGCAGGTAAGTTGTCACACATCAGTGGCAGCACAAGGAAGGCTAGGTTCCAGGAGTCAGCCCCCAGGGTGACGTCGAAACAAAAACCAGCCACCCCAGGGGTGTACATGAAGCACCACACACCGATTTAGGTTTGGCCTGTCCTCTTTTGGCCACTTGCCTTAGAAGTGTAAAGAGTTAGGTAAGATTAAAGGAAGAAGTCTACAGAGGCCCCTGATAATTGTCAGCCAAGACTCATGTTGAGAGTCAGGGCTAAGGTCGGAGTTCAACCCGATCCGGTTATAATTATGAAATATATGAATAGGGTCAATATGAGCTTTCTTATCAAGTGTTGGAATTCTAGAAATAGTCTATGTCTAGACAAGGTTGCTTTAGGATAAAATGAGAGAAATAATTATTTCCTGGATAATACGCTTAGGATTTTAGATTGACTATATAGATAGATTGGAGGATGGTTTATTTAAATTAATAGATCTGCAATGGATTCTAAAAAGAGAACCAATGAAAGCCCAGTATTTAACCCTTTGAAGTAAAATGAAAGATAATTGACCCTTTTCTCTATTAATATCCTCCCATCAAACAGTTTAAAATTTTAATTTTTTTAGAGATGAGGTCTTGCTCTGTCACCCAGGCTAGAGTGCAGTGTTGTGATCACAGTGTCATGATCAGAGCTCACTGCAGCCTCGAACTCCTGGGCTCAAGGGACCCTCCCACCTCATCCTCTGGAGTAGCCGGGATTACAGGTGCATGCCACCACCCAGCTAATTTTTATCAGCAGTTTTTAACCTATTTAAGCCCAGGGTCCCTTCTGGAATGTGCCAAGAAGGCATAGATTCTCAACCTAGAAAGTTGCACACATGCACCCACGATTTTTCACACAGTTTTTTTCCATTTGGTGGAAGGACCAGGGGAATCACAAATTCATCTGAAAGTTATTTGTGGATCTTTTATCTCAAAAAGTTTTCTGGACTGTAGCCCACAGTTGAAAATGTAGTTTACATCACAATCTACACGTAAGCATATAAGATGAAAAGCTTCATAGAATACTAACCTGACTATGGGCAACACACACTGTTCTGTTCTGGCTCGTTTTATGAAATGATTTTATGACACACTAAGGGGTCTCCACCTGCAGTTAGAAAAATGTAGCTCTCACTATGCAGAGTGGGTAGACTTTAGAACCCTTGCCTTGTCACGGCCAAGCTCAGTACTGGGCATCTCATGCTCGGACGTAGTTCTTATGCTCATTGTCCATTTGTTGCCAAGGTTGATTCTGGCTAAATGCATACCCCAGGCAGTTAGAAAAGAAGAATTGCAAATCAACTTCTGACACATTAAAAGTGTTATGATCTGGCCCACATTCATATAGATTATAGAGATCTCACATGCTCAGCAAATGTGCCTCCTTTGTGGTCACAGCACAGGTATCTAAAAACACCAGGGTATAGCAGTGAACAAAACAAACAAAAGTTCCAGCCTTCTAGTAGAGGAGAGGGGCATCACATGAGATCATAAAATATGTCAGACTGTGATAAATCATAAGGAGAAAAAATAAAGCAGAGAGTGGGGTATGAAGAATTGGGATAAGGTTTGAAATTTTAGCTTGGATCGCTGGGTTGTTGGTGTCACTGAAAAAGCGACCTTTCCTGAGTGAAGTGAAGAGGTCGGCCGGATAGATAATTGCAGACAGGACTTTGTAGGCAGAGGCCATGGAAGTGCACAGTCCCTGAATGAGACAGAGCCCAGTCGTGTCTGGCGAGGAGGGAAGGGGACAAGGGGCCAGAAGGGCAGTCCACACATGTCCATGGGACCTTTTGGTTGTGCCAGGCAGCCTGAGGGTGGCAGGGTAGAAGCAGGGGAACAGCTGTGAGGACGCTGTTGCGACAGTCGGGGCCAGAACAATGGTGGTGTGGTCCTGAGGGATGGCAGCGGGAAGAGCGAGAAATGCATGAATTCTGGAAAGACTGAACCTGGGTGGGAAAGAAAGAAGAGAGCCCAGGATGGCCCCAGCCCAGAACTCTGATGGGGAAGACTGAGATGGAGTAGCTTGGGGCCTGGGGGGAACTTCAGGATCTCAACTTGGGGCAGGTAGAACTTTGTGAAGCCTTTTACACCTCATTGGAAAAGTCAAGAAGATAATAGAATCATTAGTTAACAATTTTTGCACATTTCCTCACTAATTTGAAAGAGAAACTCTAACCTGACCTGGTAAGTATAGTCTGGATATTTTTGTCCATCACTGTCTCATATGATTTTTAATGTGGGGCTGAATTCCTGGCAGTTCCTTTCTCAGCCAGCCGGGGGAAGTCCACAGAGGTGAGAGAAGCCAACTTAAGAGAAAGGCAACTTGCCTTCATCTTTCAGTGGTCATGCGTGGTTCAGTGTTATAGTTTGTGGCCTTTTACAATTAGAAAAACACAGGCTTTTTTCATTGTAAAAATTGAGTTTTTTAATTGGTGAAATATACGTGACAAAGTTTGCCATTTTAACCATTTTCTGTGTACAGTTCACTGGCATTAAATACATTCACACTGATAATCAACCATCACCACCAAACATCGCCAGAACTTAAAAAAAATGAAGTTTTGCATTGAGACACCCTTCCCAAAAGTATTTCAGAATTACCCAAATTTCTGGTGAAAAGTTTTACATTAATAACAATGCGTTTTTATATACACGAGAGTAAACATCGAATTTAAGGGTAGTTGCAAATGTTGCTCTAGGGGAGGACTTCCCTTCGTGGGGCAAAATATGCTGAAATTCTTGAGAAATAAGTCTAAGAGACTCTTACTAGACTCTGCCTTTTTCTGGTAACTCACCCTTTAGCAAACTTAAGGTCTTCTTTGTAGCTTTGTAGGCCTTTGAAGTCCCTTCAGAACAGGTAGATCGTTGAGGACTATTTGTTGCCGGTTTGGTGTGTGTGGATGCTTTCTAAAAGTCTCCTGATAGGCAGGTCTCCAGGGCATGACCTGTGCTCACAGTACCACCTGTTCATGGATCTCTTCTGTCTGTTTCAATACAATCTGTCATTGGACATAAGAATATTGTTTCTTGCCATGCGCTTCTCAGAAAGCTCTGTTGAATTAAGATGTGTCCCAGGTCTTCCATTTAACTTTACAGGGAATTATCTGATGATTGCTGTGTTCCTTGAACCCTTGCTGAAGAAATTAAGTCAGCTTTTGCCCATACTCACTTCTCATTATGCCTGTTAAGAAGAAAAACCACCTCTTTGCTGAAATAGTGATTTAAAGACGTGGATTTGCCAAGTTGGATTGTATCCTTTCAGCCTAAAGGTTTTTCTACCCGCCCCCGCCCCATCTTGTCCCATTGACTTAAGCTTCTGTATCGCACTAGTTCAAGGCTCTGCCTCCTTCACTTATTTTCCTTGCCCTTCAAAATTGTGCTTATTTCTGAATGCAAGAAGTTCAACTAGGAGCCTTGTTCATCCACTTTCTTTCATTTCCTTTTATCTTAAAATATACTTCTTGTCCAGAGTGAGGCTTTAAAAAGATTTTTTTGGTTGTATTTAAAAAACCCACATATTTTCCTAGAAAAATTCAAGTAGTAAAGAGGAAGGGAAACTCGGAAAAATCTAAGACTCAGTACTAAACCACCGTTTGATTTGATTATTCTTCTAGGTTATTATCTTACTGACATGTAATAATGGCGAACACAAACACAGTCCTGGCAGGTGTCAGGCACTAAAATGTTTCACACCCAAACACTTCCACTACTTGTCACAGCAGCCCTCTGAGGGTCAGCACTGCTATTGTCCAGCCGTCCAGTCACCTGGATGAGCAAACCAGAGCTCACGGAGCTTAAGGAACCTGCCCAGAGCCACACAGCCCCAGCCACGGGATCGAGCGCCACCCTGGCCAGCCTGTCTGGGCAATCCCTCTTGGCTGGCATGCTTATTCATCTTGTCCTGTGACCTGCCTTTTGTTTGGTTTTAAATTCAAGGATATGCTGCAAATCTTGCAGTATTTATGTACAGACTTGCAATTTAAGGCTGTCAGCTTGAAGGTGGAGAGTGTAGACTTGAATTAGACTATTAGACTGTGTGAGTTTGAATCCAGCTCTTCCAGTTACTGCTCCCTTGACAGAGTGACTTAACCTCTGTGCCCCAGTTCCTCCTCTGGAAAAAGGGGAAGACAGAAATGATATCTTTCATAGGGTTTTGCAGGAATTAAATGAGTTAACAGAGGTAAAGAGCTTAAAACAGTGGTTGCCACATAAACACTGGGCCAATGTTACCCAGGTTAAATGTCAGCTACCTGCAGGGGTCTCTGCTCATTCTGGGCTGGTTCATGACTGATGGGTTTGTGAGAGTATACGTGCTTTTAGAGTAGTCCTAGAGCTAGAATCATTTGTACACATTTTACTGATTTGTTATTTCTTTAAAAGCCTTTTTCATGGGAAGGTTTTATTGTTGGTTTGGTGGCTGGCAGTTCTTTTACTAAGCTTTCCTTCATGCTCTCTATTTTGTGATATTTTCAGTGAGTCACACAGCAGAGACATGTTCTGTGGAACAAACCTATCCTTGGATTACAACAGACAGTGACATTTTCTTTCTAGTGTGAGCTCAAGTCTGTGAGCTGTGTGCTTCTACTTGTAGTCTTTTTTTTTTCCAGTAATGGTCATTGCGGATTACTTGCCATTGTGTAGGTAGGTCAGCTGCCCGGGGTGCCTTGCTTAAACCTTCTCAGTCCTGAGTTGGTTGCCCTTGCATCACAGAAGAAGAAGTGGATGGAGTTATGTCCCTGCCACGGTCCCCTGGCAGAGCCAACGGTGGTCTCCAGAGCGCTACCACACTCACTCCCTCTGTAAGGAAAGCACAATTTAAGGGTGGCAGCCTTGCCTTTGACTGTCCCAGGAAAGGGGATTTTGACTGTGGATTCTGTCCTTAGGTAATTAGATTATTTTGATGAGTGCTAGTTCTGCACACTTGCTAAAGTTTTAGGGACTCTGCCTTACTTAGGAGATAATTCTGTCTTGAGATACCCCGTTTACAGAATGCTTTCTAACTTAGATGTTTGGTGAATAAGGGCATCTGTTTGCCAGCACCAGCTCTCCTGGCTCCCTGTGCTGGTTTTCTCTGAACACCTCACCTGACTGCAGGCAGACAGCTCTGAGTGGCTGCCTCGTGGCTAGACTAGTGGGATGACTTTTGCCAACACAAACACAGTTCATAAGGATCTTTTTTTGTCTTTTTTTTTCTTTTTTTTTTTGGAGATGGAGTCTCGCTCTGTCACCCAGGCTGGAGTGCAGTGGCGCAATCTCGGCTCACTGCAAGCTCCGCCTCCTGTGTTCACGCCATTCTCCTGCCTCAGTCTCCCAAGTAGCTGGGACCACAGGCGCCCGCCACTACCCCCAGCTAATTTTTTGTATTTTTAGTAGAGACAGGGTTTCACCGTGTTAGCCAGGATGGTCTCGATCTCCTGACCTCGTGATCCGCCCGCCTCGGCCTCCCAAAGTGCTGGAATTACAGACGTGAGCCACCACGCCCAGCCAGTTCATAAGGATCGTAAGAACAAGTTTATACTTCCAGCAAAAGAAAAACTTTTGAACTGTGACTTTAGTGTTAACGTTTCGTTACGTGTGTAATGCATATGATTGTTACCACCGGTTCTTGCCATCCATATTCCCCTCACTCCCCCCTTCTTTCCCTCCCCATTCTCCTAACTACTATGGTGAAGCTCCTGATAGTGTAGCATGCAGGTGCTAGCATATGGGAAGTGAGTCTCCAGTTGGGGAGCTTGTTAGCAATTATATTAGGGTTCTCTTAGAGGGACAGAACTAATAGGAAATATATATATATAAAAAATATATATATAATGTATATTGTATATCATGTATATATTACATATTATTATATATATTTTGTATATTATGTATAATATACATATATATCATATATATTATATTTTGTATCATATTATGTATATTATATAATATATAAATAATATATATAGGAGTTTATTAAGTATTAACTTACACAATCACAAGGTCCCGCAATAGCCAGTCTGCATGAGAAGCAAGAAGCCAAGAGCCATTCTGAGTCCCCAAACTGAAGAACTTGGAGTCCGATGTTCAAGGGCAGGAAACATCCAGCATGGAGAAAGATGTAGGCTGGGAGGCTAGGCCTGTCTCTCCTTTTCACGTTTTTCTGCCACTTTATATTCACTGGCAGCTGATTAGATTGTGCCCACCAGATGAAGGGTAGATCTGCCTTCCCTAGCCCACTGACTCAAATGTTTATCTGTTTTGGCCACACCCACCCAGACACACCCAAGATTAATATTTTGTATCCTTCATTCCAATCAAGTTGACATTCGGGATTAACCATCACATCAATAATCAAGACAGTATAGAAAGTGAGACTAGTTCATTAACGGCAGTTACTTATTTGATGCAGAGGATCTAAAAATATAGAAGAGTTAAAACATAAATATCAATGAAAAAATGTGATGCTATGAGCAAAATGGGAAGCCTATCTGTGTCCTTTCTGGCTATGTGTATGGCGTATACGGTGATGCCTAGGTTACCATTCTCTGGGGTGTGCACCCAGGCCTGAAAGGCACTAAGTGCAAATGGAGTCGTTAACTGTGGGCATAAGTTGTCTCAGGGCCAGGCTGGTGGCTGGGGAGGAGGTGGCCCCAGGACTTCTTATTGAAGGTTGGAGTGTCATCTGCCCCTAAGTGGCTTTTGTGGTCACCCAGATAATAGAGCCAGAGATGCTGTCCTTGGCCATGTTTGAGCTCCACTTCCCCGCATCAGATGTTTTTTGAGGGCCAAGAGGGCCAGTAAATCATGGTCTGCCTTTTCTCAAGAAGTAGGGGGAAGAGACTGTAGGACAGGAAATGGAAACCTGAATCCTAAGACATAGTCCACGTCTAATATGATGTCTAAGGCTATGTTTTCATGAGTAAAGCTGTCACAATATTTTCCTATGTTGAAGTTATCTTAACTTCATGGGATTGCTCCTTAAAGAGAGTAGATTTTAAAAGCTGTTCTTCTTGATGCCCTTGGAAGCTGTCACATGATCCAGTTTGTTGCCATTGCGCAGTACTGTATCTGTCTCTTTACATGTGCTTGATACAGAGTGACTTCCTGCTTGTTGTTTGTCCTTAGGCAGTTTGACTTCTCCACTCAGCAAGCCTTTAAAGCACCTGGGTTATGATGCGCATGGATCTGGTTAAGTTACAAAGACCCATGACCATCTCCTTAAAATCCAGCATCCAGTACAAAGTGTACATTCCCCATTCAATCACATAGTCATTTTTATAAATTCATAGCCCTGGTCCTAAACAGGAAGTAAAGGGACCCTGCCTCCTCCCCGACCCCTACTCCCCAGAAACCAGAAACAAAAAGAACTGTCAGACTCCTGGATATCTTGCTCTTGCGGGTACTGTGCAGGTCTCTGTGTGTGCCAGGTTCTGTTGCTGTTTTAACGTCCTACGTAAATAAACAAAACACCCTAGAATGAAAAGTAACAAGTCACCTCCTTCCCTGTAATCGCCCCTGATCCCCTGGCATAGTCTGTAGGTTTTAGCTTTGAAATAAATATTTGTTTGAAAAAGAGAGAGGAAAGTGCTGCTGTTTCACTGGAGATATTTTCGTTCTTTTTTGAGGGGGTGGGATGAGTTAATTCTGACCATGGCTTAAGCCTATAAAGTAGGCTTTAAGCCCATGACGTGGCCATCAGCTCTGCCTGGTGACAGCTCACCCTACAACTTTCTTTTGTGGAGAGTAATTTTTACCTGAGCCTTATAAACATAAAACCCATAGTAAATAATAAATATTGTGATATTTATTAAAAGAGTATTCCCTAAAAGTAACCTCTGAAAGAGCTGTAAACATGATCTAATAAACAATGATCTCAAAGCTCCCTACCTTTGGGGGCTGTTAAGTTAATGTGAATGCCCACTATAGCTATTAGTGTGCTAGGTCTACAACATTTTCACATAAAACACTTTAGAACAGTTAATTAATTTGCTTATACTTAGTTTGTAATTCCTAGACTATTTCCTCATTTATAGCTTCAAAGAGAAACTCTATGGCAGTAATTTTCCAGGTGGTCCACTTGGTTAAGAATATCTCTTCCCTTTCTCAAAGAACTAAAATTAGAACTGTCATTTGACCCAGCAATCCCTCTACTGGGTATCTACCTAAAGAAAAAGAAATCGTTCTGTCAAAAAGACACCTGCACATGTATGTTTATTGCAGCACTGTTCACAATAGCAAAATCATGGAATCTACTTAAGTGCCTATCAACAGTGTACTGGATAAAGAAAATGTGGTACATATACACCATGGAATACTATACCCCCATAAAAAAGAATGAAATTATGTTCTTTGCAGCAGCACAATGCAGCTGAAGGCCATTATCCAAGGTGAATTAATGCAGAAACAGAAAATCAAATACCACATTTTCACTTATAAGTGGGAACTAAACAGTGGGTACGCATGGATGTAAAGATAGGAGCGGTAAACACTGGGGACTCCAAAAAGGTGGGAGGGAGGGAAGGGATCAAAGGTTGAAAAAACTACCTGTTGGGTACCGTGTTCACTGTTTGAGTAATGGGTTCACGAGAAGCCCAAACCCCAGCTTTATATATTATACCATTGTAACAAACTTGTACATGTAGTCCCCGAATCCAAAATCATTAAATTATTTTTAAAAAGACTACCTCTTCCCCTTCTTTGCCTCGCTTTTCGTGGCAAAAATAGAAAAAATCGAGTCACATAATTTCTTGTTCTTTTGGAATTAAAAAAAGGTCACTTTACACTCAAAAAGAATGATCCTTCCAAAGGAATTAACAGCTAACTAGGTATTGTTTGACATTTGCATTTGGTGGCATTCTTCTCTAAGAGATCCTTGCTTTGATGCAGCTGGTTCCAGTTGCAAAATGGTATTTCCCATGAGTGTGAAATTATGAAGAGTTGCTCCTAGAAAGCCATTTTGTTCTACAAGCATGTTTAATCAAGAAAATAAATATCCTTTTGCAAATTTTTATAAGCATGTAAGGCATATTTCTTGCAGAAGCTGAGACATATTTAATGCAGAAGCTGATTTCAAATTGGCTTAATTTTTAATGCCTGCATTGGAATAAACCTGTATCCCATTTCCTTTCCTTATGTGGGACCCAAGACCTTGTCTCAAGCACGAGAAGGTCCAGTTTAAGTAAAATTAGTGTTTCTCAGGAGACGAGAGAGGCCCTGATAAGATCCTCAAGTTGAAACACGCTAAAACCCTAGCAAATTGAATTGAGACCTAGATATATTATTAGAAAGTACAGACCCTCAAAGGTAAAGTAGAAGATGTTGAAGGCACAGAGGGAGAAAGAGAGATCGCCTGAGGGTCTGTAATGACACTGACTATGGATTTCCACAGTAATCATAGAAGTATGAAGATGGAGCTGAGAACGTAACTGCCAACCTAGAATACTTTACTAATGTAAAATATGATTCAAGAAACAAAATGAAATGGACACTTTCAAACAAGCCCTGAAATTTTTACCACTGGTGGACTCTTGCTAAAAAGATCATGAAAAGATATTCTTCAAAAAGAAAGAAATTGAACTCAGAAAGGCATAAGATGATTGGTGAGCAAGGAAATGGGAGATGGCAGGTATGTCTAAACCACATTAGTTGTACGAAACAGTAATACTGATTTTGATAAAATTGGGAAACATTTTATTGACTAAAATTTGTAGCAACAAGAAGAAGATAGGTGATCAGGAATAATATTTTATCCTGTCCTTTTATTATTTGGGAGGGAAGGAAATAACTTTAGATTTTAATAGATAAGCATGCTGATATGGTTTGGCTGTGTCCCCACCCAAACCTCAACTTGAATTGTATCTCCCAGAATTCCTACGTGTTGTGATAGGGACCCAGGGCAAGGGGGTAATTGAATCATGGGGCCGGTTTTTCTCATGCTGTGTTGTGACACTGAATAAGTCTCACAAGATCTGATGGGTTTATCATGGGTTTCTGCTTTTGCTGCTTCCTCATTTTTCTGTTGCTGTCATCACATAAGAAGTGCCTTTCACCTCCCACCATGATTCTGAGGCCTCCCTAGGCATGTGGAACTGTAAATCCAATTAAACCTCTTTTTGTTCTCAGTTTCAGGTATGTCTTTATCAGCAACGTGAAAATGAACTAATATACATGCTAAAGCTGTAAGGATAACAACTGAAAATTACAAATTATAGGAAGGAAGGGCCAAAGAACTATAGAAAAAGCAAGAGTGTTAGAGTGAACTCCAAGTTTCTCTTCAAAGAATCAGTATGTCAGTGTGTTCAGCTCTCTTATTCTTTGATTCTCCATTTTAAAGTTTAACTTCCTGGTTCTCTTTGCCCCCTTGCCTCTAGTTTCAGTAAACAACTTTCCTGCCAGTTCTAATCAGTAGTTCACATCTGTTCCCCTCATCACCTGCTGCATCTTGAGTCACCCCTGGTCACCTGCTCTGCCCTGAGTTACTCCTGGTCACCTGCTCCATCTTGAGTCATCCCTGGTCACTGGCTCTGACCTGAATCATCCTGGGTCACCTGTTCTGTAACCTCCCTTCCCGCCAAACTACTCATCCCGCCACTCGGGCTCATACCCCTTCTGTCTTTAAAATAGCCAATTGGAATTAGCTTAGACTGTGCGGTCCAACCCTAGCCAATAGGGGAATGACACAGCAGTAGGGGCTCCCTGCATCAGGCATAAGAACCCCTTCCCCTCCCTTTTCCAGGTTTATTCTCGCCATTGCTCCATCTGTGAGTCACACCCTTCTATAGAAGTAAAAATTGCCTTGCTCAGAAAAGGAAATTTATGTTCGAGTGCTGTTTTCTTGCAGCACCAAGTAACAAGCATTTGTTTCTAACGAAGAGTATAGAATGAAATGGTCAAAATAAATACAGGTAAAATGTGTTTGTAATCCGAATAGGTAAAAAAGGATTAAATTTCAGGTAAAGATCAGAGATGATCAGATTGGATAAAACATAATTTTAAGGAGGAAAGAAGATGAAGGTGGTCATTGTACAGTGATAAAATGTATAGTTCTCCATGAAGATAAAGTGATTTTAAACTTGTTTGCCTTCGGTAGCATAGTTTCAAAATAGTTAAGGCAAAGCCAACATAATTTTAGATCTCTAGTCAGTGTCAGTTGTTGAATGACTTCTCTGTAAGTAACTAGTAGATTGATCAGAAATTACAAAGATCAGAAGATTTGAACAGCTACAGTTTTAAGTGGACATAAAGAACCTTACCTTTAATAAGGAGATAAATTATTTTAAAATACAAGAGACATTCAAATTTCTTTACACACTAGGCCAGAAAGCAGTTAGTATCAACAAAAAACACATATCATACTGTGTTATCTGATCACAATTATTAGATTAGAAACTGAATTTCTAATCTTACGCATTTTGGAAATTTGAATTCAATATAACTTGTGGGCCAACGAAGAAAACAAACCGGAATTAAGAGTGGTTGTCAAAATTTTGGAGTCGGTCAAGTACCCAAGTTAAAAATCAGACAGAAGAGTGAATACAGTTAAAGGAAAAGAGATGTTTTTCTTTGTTTTCTTTAAGAATGTTAAAGAGAAGAACAGAAAATAATTCCAAAACAAGGATACAGTTAAGAGGATACAAGTGCAAAAGTGGTTATTTATTTATTTTTTTAAAAGTGGCAGTTTATCAAGTAGAAGAAAGAAGATTAAAACATTAGGAATGAAAAGAAGGTCACATCTACAGGAATAGCAAGTATTTTTAAAAGACTACAAACAACTGCATGCCAACAAGTATGAGATATTATAGTAAGTTCTCACTTAACGTCATCAATAAGTTCTTGGAAACTGCTACTTTAAGCGAAAAGACAATGCCAAGTCCTTGAATAAGATCATTTTCTTCAGTGTCATTTTATTATAACGTTGATGAGGGAAAAAATGGTTGTATTATAAATAAATTTGCTTAAAGTCACAGTTTCCAAAAACCTATCAAAGACAGTGAGGACTTACTATATAATACTTAGAATATAAGCAGTTTTCTAGAAATAACCAAGTTTACCCAAATTGACTAAAAAAGAGTAGGAGACCATTCAATAAATGAATGGGTTAATAATCTATACCCTCTCACTTTGCGTTCTACCCCCATACTAGGCCCAGAGAGTTCACGGATGTATTCTACCAAACAGTCAAGGGAATGGATTCTCAAAATTTTACACCATTATTTCCAGAGAGAAGAAAAAAAGGAACTAAATTGATCCTCTAGTTTGGTTTTATTTTCAAGCTATCATGAAAAGCTTCAAATTTCTGTCACAAATAAGTATAACAAATAATTGTGAACCCATCATCAGTCGCCTAGCATTAACAATTAGAATATTTTGCCATTAGTGTTTCATCGATAATTTCTCACAGATATCTTTTTTTGTTCATTTGTTTTAAAATACTTGTTGTAACTGTAGCTGTGACCTCCTTTTCATTTCTAATGTTTTGTTTGTTGTTTCTGGAGTATGTTAAAACAAATCCAAGCCTTGCTAAACTCATTTATTAGTTCTCAAAAGTTTTTTTAAAAAATTTCTTAATTTCTTCCTGCATACTGGATCATACCATCTGTGAATAAAGACAGTTTTACTTCTTTCCAATCAATGTAGATTTTGTCTTTTTCTTTACCAAGAATCTGCAGACTTGCTGAGAATGAACATCCTTACTTCATTCCTGGGATCTTTGGGGAAACATCTTCAGTCTTTCACATTAAGTACGTATTAGCTGTAGGGTTTTTATAGATTTCCTTATCAAGTTGAGAATGTTCCCTTTTATTTCTAATTTGTTGAGAGTTTTGGTCATGAAATGGTGTTGGATTTTATTAAATGCTTTGTCAATGACTAGTGAGATGGTTATGTGGTTTTTCTCCTGTAATCCATTAATATGGAATATTACATTAATTGATTCTCTGATGTGAAACCAACTCTGAATTCTTGGGATAAACTCTGCCTGGTCATGATGCACAATCCTATTTATCTGTTGCTGAATTTGGTTTGGGATTTTCATGTCTGTGTTTATGAGGAATATTGTTTTGTAGGTTGTTGTGGGGTTTTTTTTTTTTTTTTGGTAAAAAAGATTTTGCTGATTTCCTTTTCTTCTGGAGTCAGTTTTGGTAACTTATAGTTTCCTAGGAATTTTTGCATTTTGTCTAAATTGCTTAGTTTGTTGACATAGAGTTATTCAGAGTATATCGTGTTTCCTTCCTTTCTGCCAGGTGTAGGTAGTGATGTCTCCTCTTTCATTTCTGATATGGGTTATTTGTGTCATCTCTCTTCTTTTTTTGGGTGGAAGATCATTCTAGCGAAGAGTTTATCAGTTTTGTTGAACCTTTCACATAACTTATTTTTTGGTTTGAAGTATTTTTCTGTTGCTGCTGCTGAATTGATTTATACTTGGATCTTTATTGTTTCCTCTCTTCTGCTTGCTTTGGGCTGAATTCGCCCTTCTGTTTCTTATTTCTTCAATAGAAAGATTAGATTATTGGTTCTTTCACTTCTTTTATGACATAAGTGTTTAAAACTACAATTTTCTCTAAGCACTACATTGGCTACATTTCATAAATTTTCATGTGTTGCTTTCATTTTCATTCAATTCTAAATACTTTCTAATTTTCCCTATATTTTCTTTTTTGACTGATGGCTTCTTTTTTAGAAGTGTGTTTTTTTAATTTTTAAATTTTGGAGAGTTTCCAAAATTGTTGATTTCTAATTTAATTCCATTATGGCCATTAAACACAATTTTCTCTTGTCTTTAGCTTTTGGTAGTTTGACTATTATGTGTCCAGGTAAGGATCTTTTTATATATCTTAAATCTTTTTAAAATAACGGAGTCCTGTTTTATGGCCTACATTCTGGTCTTTTGTAGTAAATGTTCTGAGTGCACTTGGAAGGACCATTGTTGGATGGACTATAAATTTCAGAATGAGTTGGTTGACAGTGTTCAAGTCTTCTATATCATTGCCGATTTTCTGTTTTGGTCTATCAGTTATTGATAGTGGGCTATTGAAATATCAAACTATAAATGTAGAATTGTGTATTTCATTTCTGTCAGTTTTTGCCTCATGTATTTTGAGGATCATACATACACACATTCATAGTTATTACATCTTGAAATACTGAAATACTTGAAATACTGAAATACTTGAAATACTGACTCTTTTACCATTATGAAATGTTTCTCTTTGTCTGTAGTAATATTTATTGGCTAAAAGTCTTCTTTGATACCCATACAGTCACTTCTTATGGTTATTGTTTTCATGTCATATTTTTTCCTATCCTTTTACTTTTTACCAAGTTCTGTCTTAGAATCTAAAATGTGTCTCTTGCAGACAGCATATGGTTGCTTTAAAAAAATCTGATCTGATCATTTCTTTCTTATTTTTTTTTTTTTCGAGACGGAGTCCTGCTCTGTCACCCAGGCTGGAGTGCAGTGGTGCAATCTTGGCTCACTGCAGCCTCTGCCTCCTGGGTTCAAGCGATTCTCCTGTCTCGGCCTCCCAAGTAGCTGGGACTACAGGTGCCCACCACCATGCCCAGCTAATTTTTGTGTTTTTAGTAGAGATGGGGTTTCACTGTGTTGGCCAGGCTGGTCTCAAACTCCTGACCTCAGGTGATCCACTCGCCTTGGCCTCCCAAGGCGTTGAGACTACAGGTGTGAGCCACCGTGCCTGGCCTTGATCTAGTAATTTCTGCATTTAGTTAGGAGTGTTTAGTTATTTCACATTTAATGTAGTTATTGATATGGTTGGTTTTAGTTTGTCAGTTTGCTGTTTTTCTGTTTATCTCTTGTCAGTTTATTTATCCTTTCCTGCTGCCTCCTAGTTAAATGTGTTTGTTTTTATTTTTTGGCCTGTACCATATTCTCTGAATTTTAAAACTTAATATTTGAATTATTTTCTTATTGATTGCTGTAGGGATTATAATATGCATTTTAATTTATCGCAGCCCGCTTGGGATTAATAACTACCCTAATTCTAGTCAGTATATCAGCTTTACTTTGTATCTCTCCATCTCCTCCCCCCTCCTTTTTGGTAATTTATTCATATTTATTATACAGAATGTGTTAAATGTGCATAGTGTTGTAATTAATGCTTTATACAATGTTATGTCATTTAAATAAAGAGAAGAAGCAATATTCAAATAGTCTTCTGTATTTACTCACATATTTCCCATTTCCAGTGCTTTACCGTTCTTCCCATGGTTTTGCATTACTGTCTGGAGTCCTTTCAGCCTATAGGACTTTATGCTTTCTGTCAGGCAGCTCTGTTGACAAGAGATTTTCATTTATTTGGGAATATCTTTATTTTGCTTTCATTTTTTTTCTTTTTTCTTTTAAAAATAATTTATTCATTTATTGTTATGAGATGGGGTCTTGATCTTTTGCACAGGCTGGAGTGCAGTGGTGTGATCATAGCTCACTGTAACTTCAAACTCATAGGTTCAAGCAATCCTCCTACCTCAGCTTCCCAAGTAGCTTGGACTACAGGTGTGTGCCACTGAGGTGTGTGCCACTGTGCCTAGCCTTGTCTTCATTTTTGAAGAATAGTTTTGCTAAATATAGAATTATTGATTGTTTTCCCTTTGGTGCTTTGAGTATGTCATTCATTCTGCTTTCTGACCTCCATCATTTCTGATGAAGAGTCAGCCATTATATTTGTATATATTTTTATTCCTGTATAAATTATGAATTATTGTTTTCCTTGCTGGTTTTAAGATTTTTATCTTTAGCTTCCACCAGTTTAAGTAATATATGTCTAAGAATCTCTTTGTGTTTATATTATTTGGGCTTTGTTGAGCTTCTTGGATCTATACATAATTGCATTTGATTTTATTTGGAATATTTTTAGCCATTATTTCTTAAAATGCTTTTTCTGTTCCTTCTCTCTCCCCTCTCCTCTCCTTAGGGTATTCCCATTACATGTATGTCTGCACTGTTGCTGTTTCCCCACTCTCTGAGGTTTCGTTTTTCTTACATCTTTTTTTCTCTCTGTCTCTTGGATAAGTTCTGTTGATCTCTCAAATGTTCACTGATTCTTTCTTCTGCCATTTCAAATCTACTGTTGAGTCCATCATTGGATTTTTAAACTCTAGAATTATTATTTTTTTATTTTGATACACGCTTTTTATTTGTTGGCATTTTCTATTTGAGTCATTGTCGTCATGTTTTCCTTTAGTTCATTAAACATGGTTTTAAAAAATCTTTCAAGCACAATTAAAATAGTTGATGTGAAGTCCTTTTCCACTAAACCCAAATTCTAGGCAAACTTAGTTTCCACTGACTGTTCTAATTTGAGTATGACTCATGCTTTTCCTGGTGTTTTGTTTTCAGGATTTTACTTTAAGTTTTGTTGTTTTATGAGTGTGTGTTTATGTGTGTTTTAAGTCACTTGCCTAGGTGTAAGTTGAGGGATCTTGTCCTCTCTACATTGAATGGGCACTGAATTTTGTTCTCTTCATCACTCCCTGTCCCCCTTTCTTTTAGTCTGACTTTCTAGGGGTCACTGTTTTAGCTGCATAGTTTATTTGTGAGCCATGTTTTGGTCAGGGATTGTGGACAAACATCTTGAGCCCATAAGGCTTCCACTCCCTGCTGTTGGATTTTAATGTGGATTGGAAGTGCATTCAAATTTTAGGCAGGTTTCAAGGCTGCCCCAAAAAGTTTTGGATTTTAGAGCATTTTGGATTTTGGATTTTCAGATTATGATTGTTCAACCCGTACTATATCCTCAGCAAAAACAAGAGGGCTGATGTGTCATAGGGGTTCAATAAATATTGCTATAATGGAAGACTGCAGTTAGTGAAACCAGACTCTCTAGGATCCATCTGGTTAGGAGGCTCCAACACACTGAAGGGTCTCAGCATTGCAGCCTCTCACGTGGCAGACCTACAAGCTAGTGTCAAACCTGGAGCCTGCAAATATTGACTGTGCATCTGTGATTCGCTCTAGTGGGTTGGGATTTTTTGTAAAATTTATATTTGGCCGTGTCCTCTCCACCCTAAATAGTCTCCCCTAGATGAGCTTTAGAAGAAATACAAAGGGGCGCTTTCTCACAAAAACTGCTAAGTACCCCTAGTCTGTCTGACACTCATCTTCTGATATTCATGTTACGGCTCTAGGAACCTAAGTTCCCACTGACCCCTAATATTCCGCATTGGCATTGTGACAGTTTTGCTGTTAGGAGCCTGCATCGTGAGGTTGGAAGAGGTCCTGCCTCCATAACATCGCCCAGGATCTCTGTGCAGGAGTTGCAGTTTGGGTTTCTGACCAGAGCTGTTGTATTCTGGTTCCTAAATGCTTTATCTGTCTGTCATTGGTCTCAGTATGTGTGCGCAAGTGTATCAGTGTGTGGTTTGAGTAGTCTTTTGTGGGCTGTGGAACAGCTTTGCTGCATTTCACTCTGGAGTGGATTTTATTCCTCTGGTGGAAATACTCATTCTTGTTAGCAGAGGGCTTAGTTTTTCAACACTAAGGTACCCTCTCTGTGAGTGATCATCAGACTGCAGCTGTGAAACCTGTCATGACCTTTACACCAAGAGCTTACTATGTGCCTGGTGAATTCTATACCCATTTAATTTTGGCATGTCTTGGTGTTTTGATTTGGCTTTTTTTTTTTTTTTTTGGTTGGTACATTAGGTTTAAAAGCGAACACGTTGGCAGAGTTTTTTGGTTTTGTTTTTGAGACGGTTTTTACACTTGTTGCCCAGGCTGGAGTGCAGTGGTGCAGTCTCGGCTCACTGCAACCTCCGCCTCCCAGGTTCAAGGATTCTCTTGCCTCACCCTCCCAAGTAGCTGGGACTACAGGCATGTACCACCATGCCTGGCTAATCTTTTGTATTTAGTAGACACAGGGTTGCACCATGTTGGTCAGGCTGGTCTCAAACTCCTGACCTCAGGTGATCCACACGCCTTGACCTCCCAAAGTGCTAGGATTACAGGCATGAGCCACCATGCCCAGCCACAAAGTTTTTATAATTTAAGATATGTGAAGGCTTGCCTATAACACTGTAGTTCCTAACTTTGCCGTTTTATTATGAAAATAGAACTAGATAGAAAATTCTTAACCTCAAAAATCCTAGTTTATCTATTTTTAGTACCTGAACAGTTCATCTTGGTCTCTATCCATTTCATAAAGCCAGACAGTAAAGCATAGTAGCAGTGATTCCGATTCAGAACAGGAATTTCTTTATGGCTTCTTCAAGCTTTCTGTTTAACATTTTTGGTTTGTGTTGTCAATGGGAAATAATAAATGCTTTGTTATCTTTTGAGGTATCTGAAGAATAATACAGTTGTTATGAATATGTTTTTGTAGTTTTTCCTTCTCAGTTGTAGCAGCTGTGTGGGAAAAGTTCTGTTTATACAATACACATATATAGACATGATTCAATTTGTGATTTGTCAAGTACACAAAAGAGCAAGTGGTTTTATTTGTACCAGACACCATTCTGCACTTGTTAGAACAAAACACTAGCAATAGGACTTGTCGGTATCATTTCTACATGGCTTAACTTTTTTTTCACTGCCCATTTCTTAGCATGAATAAGTGGCTTAACCTCTTAAATATTTAAATCAATTTTTATTTGGGTAGGCCATGTAAGAAAAAAAGTGGATAGATATGATAATGACTACTATGACTTTTAGCAAAAGGGGTATATTTAATTTTTATGCACATAGAATTCCCAATCTCATATTGGGGAGGAAGAGAATAACAATATGTTATTCTTCTACTTCCTTATGTATATACTGAGAGACATTTCATTGCTGTGGTATTTGGTTTCCTTATGGGAAGGAAAAATTGGGATAATGATGATACTGTTCTGTGCAATTTTTAATGGGATGGATAGAAATTCACGCTTGTTAATAACTTAAATCATAGCATTTCTCCTTTGTTTTTGGTTAGAACATTAACTTACATTTAACACTGGAAAACATGACTGTCAGAAATTTCTGTACCTTAATTCTACCCACCTGCTTGAAGAATAAATGGATGTGATAATATACAATTCTGTCATTATTGAAGAAATTCAGAAATGAAGTTTAGCATTCCTGTGGTGACATGTTTTATTGTGAATAGGCTCCGAGAGCCTGGTTTGAAACCGCCAAGTAGGAACATCGCACAGGGGACACCTTCACATGCGCCGCAGCTGTGCAGATTTCACCTCCTGCCACTGCTTGCTCATTCTGGTTCCCGCCTTCTGCCTGTCTGTACCTGGGTACACATGTGCGTGTCTTTTGAGCCCCCATTCAGTTATTTCCTTGTGTTCATTCCTTAGCTACATTCCCAAACCACAGAGTAAGATTGTTTTAAAACCTTTTGGTGCTCATCGTTCAGTTGCCCTCTAAAATTCTTCCCACTCACACACTCTCAACAGTTAAAGAAGGTGTTTCTTCACACCTCTGTAAGCCTTACAGACAGAAAACGGTTCACTTTGGTGAGGTTAAACGTTACTCATATTTATTGGCCATTTGTATTTTTTTTTCATGAATTGCTTACTCAGAATTTGGTGGGTATTCTTTGTGTTGGCCTTACTGATTTGAAAGAGCGTTTTGTTAATAAGCCATAGCCTCTTATTTACAGCTTGTCAGTTTTATTTCATAGCGTTTCTTTTTTATATGTACATGTGCACGTTATTCAGTGTTTCTGTTCAGCGTTGGCGTTAGGGTTGGCGAGGCCTTCCCCACTGTGTGCCTGGCAGGAACTGTTGCTCTGTGCTCCTCATGGGAAGCTCTGCCTGTGAGGACCCCACGCTCTCTGAAAACCCAGCTGCAGTGTTAGGTGCTGTTGGCCAGAAGCACCTCTCCATTCTAAGACTGATCCCAGACTAAGCGCTGCCTAGCCTCCTTTCTGCTAGGTGCGTTAAATGAGATATGGCTTACGTACAGTATGTGCACAAATCTTAAGTGTATAGTTGGTGAGCTTGACAAATGTGTACACCTGTGCAACTACCATCTCCCTAGAGGTACAGAACATTTTCACCACCTGACAGTTTCTCTGGGCTCCCATCGCCCCATCACCATGGATAAGCACTGTTCTCATGTCCCTTTCCACAGGTGGGTTTGCCTCTTCTAGGATTTCATACAAACACAGTCATATAGTATGTACTTGTTCGTGTCTGTTTTCATTTGCTGAGCATGGTGACGTTTGGATTCGTCTGTGTTGTCGTGGGATGGTGAGCAGTGTTCCATTGTGTGAACATACCCAGCATGTTTATCCACTTTGCTCTCAGTGGGTACCTGGGCTGATTCCGTTTCTGGTTCTTATGACTAAAGTGGCTATGAACATTCTTGCGTGGGTCTTTCTGTGGACAAACACAGAAATTTCTTTTGGCAAAAATACCTAGGAGTGGAATTGCTGAGGGAGGTGTGTGTTTAAGAAGCTCCACATGGTTTTCCAGGGGAGTTGTGCCACTCTTGACTCTGACAGGCATCGCAGGAGAGTCCCTGTTGTCCTGCATCCTAGCAGCACTGACGTTTTTCTTTATAATTTTAGCCACTGTAGTAAGACTTGAATTTCGGTATGGTGAGAGCTGAAGAACTTTGCTCTTCTCTGATGAGATTGTTTTTGCTATTCTATTTATACATTTGCTGTATAAATGTTAAGAGTTTCATGGAAATTTGTCAGTTTCCATGAAAAAGCCTTTGGGACTTGTGATTGGGATTGTATTGTATCTGGGTATCAATTTGGGAAAAATTGACAAACAATATTTTATTTGTCAACTTATAAATATGGCATGTCGCCCAATTTATAGGTACTCTTTAATTTGTCTCAGCCATGTTTTGCCATTTTTGTTAAACTTATTTCTAATATTTTGGCTTTTTATTATATGGTAAATGGAAATTTTAAAACCTCACTTTCAGTTTACAACTACTATATAAACATACATTTGATTTAAAAAATTTGACATCATATCTGTGACTTTACTGAATTCACTTTTTCTGGTTGGTTGGTTGTGTATTTATTTTCTGAGAATTTTTAAATTGAGAATGAACACTGATTTTTTTCCTTTTTCCCTCACCTTTTTTAATTATGAAAATTTTAAACATACAACTAAGTTGAAAAGTTATTCAGTGAATGTTTATAACCCACTACAAAGAATGTCGTTTTACTATGCATCCATCCATCAGTCCATCTTATTTTTTGAAACATTTTAAAGTAAATGGAGACATACCCCTAAAAATACCTTATTCAGCAAGCATTTCATTAACTGGAATTCCAGTTTGTTCATAGTTTTTTTCTTTTTATGTAAAATTTCCTAACAATGAAATGTGCTGATCTTAAATACTGCAACCAGTTGCTTAGCTAAACAAATGCATATACCTGGGTAACCTAAAAGCTTATCAAGCTGGAAAGCTGTCAGTCACCCCAGAAAGTTCATTCATGTCCCTTCCCAGTCAGTTTCCCTCCCACCCTTGTTGTTTGTTGTTGTTGTTTATACAGTAGTTTTTGTTCTAGAATTTTCTTTTAAATGGAATCATATTACAAAGTATTTTTTGATAATTTATACCACAGTTTGGTCAGTCACCTGTTGAAAACGTGTGCTGTTTCTAGTTTGGAGCCATTAGGAACAGAGCTCCTATAAATATTTTTGTACAAGTCTTTCTGCTGACATGTGTTTTCATTCCTTTGGGGTAATTAGGTTGGGGATTGCTGGGTCACAGGGTAGGTATGTATTTAGTTTTATAAAATGCTGTCAGACCTTTTGCCAAAGTGGCTGTCCCATTTTAAAATCCTACCAACGATGTATGAATGTCCTAGTTGCTTACCTTTGATATTTTTTTCATTTTGGCCATTCTGATGGGCATGTAGTTGTAACTTATTGTGCTTCTAATTTGCATTTCCCTCATGAACGGTGTGATATTCATCACTTCAAAAAATGTTTAATTGATAAGTAAAATATTCAGCACTTTTTAATGTGCTCACTACACATTCATATACTTTAGGGAGTATATGTTCAAATCTTTGCCAACATTTTAATTATACTTGGTCTTTTCATTATTCTAGAAACTTTTTATAGGTCTTAGGGACTAGGGGCTATTGGGATGAAATGAATATATTTTGCATGTGGGAATGACATGAATTTTGTGGGAATGACGTAAATTTTGCGGGACCAGAGGTAGAATGCTGTGTTCTGAATGTTTGTGTCCTGCCAAAATTCATATCTTGACACTTGGGGATTAACGCAGTGCCATCATGGTACTGGGAGGAGGTTAGGCCATGAGGGCGCCACCATGGGATCTGTGCCCTTAATAAAGAGGCCCAAGAGAGCTTCTTTGTCCCTTCCACCACGTGAGGGCACATAAAATGTGCCATCTGTGAGGAATGGGCCCTCGCCAGACACTGAATCTGCTGGCATCTTGACCTTGGAATTCCCTGCCTCCAGAATTGTGAGCAGTAAATTTCTATTGTTTATGAATTACCCAGTCTGAGGTATTTTGTTATAGTGGTCCAAATAGACCAAGACAGAAGTTGGTACTGAGAGTGGGTGTTTCATAGATATTATCTCCCCATCTATGGCTTGTTTGTACATCTTTCAACATTTTTTTTCTTATTTATTCTGTCCTCACAATCTGTCCCCGTCAACATTGTTTTTGATGAGAAGTTTAAAATTTTTTTAATGAAATCTTTTTTTAAATCAATTTTCTTTCTTTCCTGGTTATTGCTTTTTTGTGACCTGAGGAACTTTTGCCTTCCCCAAAGTCACAAGGATGACGTTGGTTTGCTCTAAAAACGTCATCGCTTTAGCTTTTATACTTAGGCCTGTAATGCATCTTGAATGAACTTCTGTGTATATCGTAGTTTGTGGTTCACTTGGTAACATATGGATATCCAGTATCCCAGCTACATTTTTCCAAAAAACTTGACCAAATAGATTTCTTGGGGATCTTTGTAATCAAAAATCAGTTGTGTAATTTAGAATCATAAATGAAAATCTATTTCTGGTGCTCTCTTGTTTCATTGATGTCTTTGTAGATACTTACACAGGTACTGCTTTTCCTTGAAATCTGTTGCTTTATGATGTTATATCTTGAAATAGGTTGTAGGAGCCCTACTTAGTACTTCTTTTTCAAGATTGCTTTGGATTGCCTTTCAAGTTTGTTGCCTTTCCTTGTAAATGTTAAAATCATCTTGTTGGTTTCCACATAAAAGCTTGCCAGGATTATTTTTGGGAATGTGTTGTATCTATAGATGCATTTGGGGGAAATTTTATATTAATATTTGCTCTTTTAATTTGTAAACATGGACTGTCTTTACATTCATTTAGGCTTGTAATTTCTCAGCAGTATTTTATTGCATCTATTGAAATATGGCTTTTCTCTTCTATTCTCATAGTATGGTGGATTATATTGATTTTGTAAACCTTGCATTTCTGAGATATGCCACATTTAATCATGACATTTTAATTGGTTATATCTTTGATGTCAGATTGTTAATACTTTAATATGGATTTTTACATCTGTATTCTTGAGGGATATTGGTCCAT
Organism: Homo sapiens; assembly: GCF_000001405.40. Classification (NCBI taxonomy): domain Eukaryota; kingdom Metazoa; phylum Chordata; class Mammalia; order Primates; family Hominidae; genus Homo; species Homo sapiens. The sequence goes on from NC_000006.12 coordinate 4,878,202, forward strand.
AATTTACTGTTTTTATCTACCTCTTTTTTTAAGATTATGTTGGCTTCATAAAGCAAAGTAGGAAATAGTCTCTCATTTTCTGAAATGATTTCTATAAAATTGGTATTTTTTTTCCTCAAATGTTTGATAGAATTCACCAGCAAAGCCATCTGGGGTTTGATGTGTGTGTGTGTAGAGGTTTGGGAGAAATTTGTGTGTGTGTAACATTTTAATATATTATAAATTAATATGTTAATGTATATTATATACAATTTTATATGTGTAAAATAGCCATATATGTATATATTCATACTTCTGTTTCATCTTGGTGTCAGTTTTGGCAAGTTGTATTTATCAAGGAACATGTCTACTTTTACGATGATGAATTTATTGGTATAATGTTTTTCATAATATTTTGTTATTTTAATGTCTGTAGGATCTGTAGTGTTATTCTCTTATATTTCGATATTGGTAGTGTGTGTTTTATTTCCAGACTGTTTTGACTTAGGGCTATATCAATTTAAATAATATTCCAAAGAAGCATCTTTTGGCTTTTTAATTGTTATTTGTATTGCTGTTCTAATTTATTTCTGTTCCTAATTATTTCCTTATTTCTACTAGTTTGGGTGCAGTTTATTTTTCTGTTTTTTTCAAGTAGAAATTTAGATAATTATTTTTTTCTAAGGTGAACATTTAAAGGCACCATTTCCCTGTGAACATTGCTTTAGCTGGATCCCACAGTATTTTCTAACATTTTTTGTGTGATTTCTTCTTTGACTCATGGTTTATTTAGAAAAATTTACTAATTGCTTATTTATTTCTAGATATGATATTGTTATTGGTGTCTAACTCCCCTGCAGTCAGAGAACATAACCTGTAAGATATTCCATTCACTCTTTTAAAATTTTTATTGAGACTTATTTTATGGCTTACCAAGTGGTCTATCATTGTGAATATTTCAAGTGATTTAAAGATACATTCGACAGTTGGATATAACATTTTGTAAATATCACTTAGTTTAATGTGATTAAGAGTGCTGTTGAAGTCTTTAGTGAATTATATATCTATCAGTTACTAAAAGAGGGATGTTAAAATTTTCAACTGAGTTTGTGGATTACTTTCTCCCTTAAGTTCTGTCAGTTTTCTTTCATATATTTTGAAGCTGTTGTATTAAGTGAATACACGTTTAGGGTTGTTATAGCATCTTAATAAATTGACCTTATAATAAAGAAATGTCCCTATTTATGTCTTGTAATGCTTTCTTGAAGTTTACTTCGGTAAACACCAGCATTAAGAAAAAATAAATTTAGTTTCATGAGAGTCTCCTGATATCTAAGAGTAGTTATAATATTTCCATTTCTTTTTTGTGGGGTTTTTTTTTTTTTTTTTTTTTTTGAGACAGAGTTTCGCTCTTGTTGCCCAGGCTGGAGTGCAGTGGCACAATCTTGGCTCATTGCAACCTCTGCCTCCCGGGTTCAAGCAATTCCCCTGCCTCAGCCTCCCAGGTAGCTGGGATTACAGGAGCCCACCATCATGCCCAGCTAATTTTTTGTATTTTTAGTAGAGGTGGGGTTTCACCATGTTGGCCAGGCTAGTCTTGGACTCCTGACCTCAGATGATCTGCCCGCCTCGGCCTCCGAAAGTACTGGGATTACAGGCATGAGCCACTGCACCTGGCCTTGTGGTTTTAATAGACTATTTTTTTAAAGAGTAGTTTCAAATTCTCAGCAAAATTGGGCTGAAAAAATAGAGATTTCCCTATACCCTCTCGCACGCCCCTACACACATACAGCCTCCCTCATTATCAGCATTCCCCACCAGAGTGATACAGCTGTTACACTTGATGCATCTACATTGACACGTCATCACCCCAAGTCCTTAGTTTACATCAGGGTTCACTCTTGGTGTTATGCATTCTATGGGTTAGACAAATGTATAACAACATGGATCTAGTATCATGCAGAGTAGTCTCACTGCCCTAGAAATCCTTTGTGCTCTGCCTTTATGTTTCCTCCTACCCTCTCTTAGCAACCAGTGAGCTTTGTACTGTCTCCACAGTTTTGCCTTTTACAATATGTTGTATAGTTTAAGTCATATAGTATGTAGCCTTTTCAGATGGGCGTCTTTTACCTAGCAATAATATGTTTAAGGTTCCTCTGTGTCCTTTTGTGGCTTGATAGTTCATTTCTTTTTGGTGCAGAATAGTATTTTATTGTCTGGGTGTACCACAATATACTTACCTATCCATTTACCTACTGAACGACATTTTGATGGCTTCACAAGTTTTGGCTATTATGAGTAATGCTACTATATAAATATTTGTTTGGAAAGTTTTTATAAGTTTTCATTCATCTTTCTTGGGTAAATACTAGGGATCGTGATTGCTGAATCATATGGTAAGAGTATGTTTCAGTTTGTAAGAAACTGCCAAACTGTTGTCCGAAGTGGCTGTGCCATTTGCTTTCCATCCAACAGGGAGTGGGCCTTTCTATTGCTCCACATCCTCACCAGCATTTGCTGTCATGTTCTGGATTTTGGACATTCCAATAGATGTGTAGTGGTATCTCAGTGTTGTATTAATTGCATTTCCCTAGTGACATATTCTGTGGCACATCTTTTCATGTTTATTTGCCATCAGTATGTCATCTTTGGGGAGATGTCTTTTGCCCATTTTTAAATCAGTTTCACTTGTTAAGTTTTAAGATACCTTTGTTTTGGATAACAGCCGTTTGTCAGATAAGTCCTTTGCAAATATTTTCTTGCAGTTTGTGGTTTGTCTTCTCATTCTCTTGAAACACCATCTTTTAAATTATTATTTACATAGCATTTTCTTTTACCATTCTTTTATTTCTGACTTATCTGTGTCTTTATGTGGCATCATTTGTAGATAGCATGTACTTGGGTTCTGTGTGTGTGTGTTTTTAATCCATTTTGATGATTTCTGCCCTTTAAGTGGAGCACTCAGTCCACTTACATTTAGTATAATTGTTGATAGGGTTTGATTTGGGTCTAGTGTTTTATTTTTTTCTAGTTCTCTTTTTTTGGTTTTTGTTCCTCTGTTCCTCTTTTCCACTTTCTTTGGCTAATAATATTATTGAAATTTGACATTTCGTTATAATTCTCTAATGGCTTTTAGTTATACTTGTTGATATTATTATGGTTTCTGTTTTTGCCTTTTTTTTAGTGATCGTTGTAGAGTAGTGCTTCTGAGTAATCACTCAGGCTCAGCATCGAATGGGAACTTGTTTGAAACATGAATTACCAGGCTGCATCCCGGGCCTCAGAAATTCTGTGGGAGAGACCTGGCATTTCATGGTTTAAATAAAGGTATCAGATGCTTCTGAAATGCATGATAAAAATCTGTTGTACCACCTTATGTAAAGCAGAAGAATCTTGTAACAGTATAATTCAATTGAGTTTTCTTATTTGTGCTATTGTTATATATTTTCTGTCTACATATGATAAACCCCACAATAGTGTTTTTGGGATTTTGCATTAAACATTATTACACTGTCTTACAAAATTAAGAGAAACAAAAAATGAGTATTTATATTTATTCACAATTTCTGGTTCTCATTCTTCCTGTATATCTGAGGTTCCATCGGTACCATTTTGCTTCAGCCCAAATAATTTTCATTAGTGTTTCTCATGACAGAAATTGTTGGGAGACAATTCTCCATAGGTCTTCTGCATTTCTGCACCTTTTGCAAGCAGTGCACTGGCTGTGTTTCTTCTAGACTACTTTTTCAAGGACATTCATAGAGAAGACAAAAGTCATTTCTCCTGCCAGAGGCTGGAGCAGGCATGCTCACTATCCATCATAAAAGTTTGCCTTTTTAAGCTCAGGGTTCTGCTCCTGTGACATCGTCCATTGCACGCAGAGGTGTCATCCTCTGGGGACTGAGGCACAGCACACCGGAGCAGGAACATGTTGGTACCCTGGGTACTGCGCTTGCTCCCAGTTCACATTGATCCATGACTCAAGAGTCTCTTGTCGTCTGTGAGCGTTCTTGAAATTGTGGCAAGCTCACTTGTTAGCTTCTGTCCTCCTTGTGGTTTTTCTCAAAGAGGAGGATGGGAGTCTCATGGGTCAATGGGTGAGATTTTAGGAAAATCCATGGGATTTGTAGCTGACATGTTGACCAAATTGTTATCCTAGTGATAAATGGTCCTTCACTTTGCTGCCTGCTAATGAGGGGAAATTGGGGAGATAGTTTTAAACACAGCTGCCCAAACAATGCCCTGGTTATTGCTAATTCTTCTCTGGGTGGGAGGATGTCTTCACCCTTTGGTGGGCAGATGGTTCTGACCCTTTTCAAACAGTTAAAGGAGAGAAATTGATAACCACCAGGGGTGGAAAGCAGGCAAATTGTTTCATCTGAATGTTGGCTGGTTCTTTTGGGAGAAGAAGGGGTGGGACTTGTTAAGGCAGAAGGCTAACAGCTAGGTTGCCACATGGTTGGCTCTTCCAGCACTGGTCCTGCCAACCTCAGATGCACTGGTAGATGACAGTAAAAGGCTTAATTATTTTTGTAGTGGACCCTGGCAGCTTTAGGGATGTGCAGCCCTGTCGAAGATTACCCTGACATAGACAAACACCTGTGGGAAAATATTAGTGTCTAATAAGATCATCAACTAGTATTCCAGCTCTTACTGCCCCAGATGAGGTTTCCAATGCTAATGATGATGACCCACTGGAGAGTGAGAAATTTAACCCAAACAAGTTGACGTACATTCTTGCCGTCCACTCCACTGCTCTGGGAAATTCTCCCCTGGCCCTTCCATTAAAGCCACGTGATAACCCATGAGATGTTACCATGACTGTGGGGCCCGCATTGGTCAAAATGGAGGACATAATCAATCTGTGTAAGCGACCTAAAATTGCCTTGTCCCTCTTGCATCTGGCCCTTGCTTACAGAAGGGCTGGGTATGAGTAGGGTATCATTGGTAAACAGGTGAAAATAGCTCCCGAAATAGGAAACATACAATTTTGTCCTGGTGGAAGGAGAGCAACAATGCTAGTACCTAGGGAAGTGGGGAGTGCATTACACCTTGGGAAATTCTGGGACAGGGAACATTAATGATCCTTGTCATTCAGAACCACCCCTAGAGCCTTCCTCAGGGATGAAAAAGCCCTGGTGTGGTTCTCCCAGATTTTTGCAAGGGACTGAAGTGAAGCTTTCAGATCTGCCATTCCTCCTTGCCAGACCACTCTGGTGACGATTTGGTGCATTCCTTTGACCCATGCGGAGAATTCTATCAGAAGCAGCAGGGGATGGTGCCAGCGCCTGCACCTGCCACACAGAACACCTGCTAGCACCTCTGGCTGTCTGCCCACCCATACTCATGGCCATGGCACAGATGAGTGCCACCTGACTGGTGGAGCAGGCAAACAGGATAGATTGGACTGACCACTGTCAGGCAGTTCTTCCAAAAACAAGGGCAAGACTCAGTGATTGAACTGAGCTGTAGACCTTTAAGAGCCATAGCCATCTAGAAAGCTCTGTTGAAGGCACTGTCAGCCTATGCCCCTATGATGCAGGGCTCACTGGTAATTGTAAGCAGCACTTTCCAGGACCAATGCAACACTGAGACTGCACTCTCCCTCTGTGAAGGGCAGGTATTATCTCCCTTGTCTTCCTCCTAGAAGCATAGTGACTTGCACCTTAGCAGTGATCATCAGAGAACTTTGAGTATGTAAAGAAAAAAACTCCATCAGATCCTGTAGTCCTCATAGAACAGTGGCAAACTCTCCAAAATGAGTCTACCCTTGAGTATCTGGGGCAGCCCCCCAGAGGGATCATTGACTCACCATGTGTGTGCATCCTACAAGTAGCTTTCCCCACTGTGAGAGCCATAGACATGGTGGTAGGAAATTTGTCCATGACGTTCTCTAAAGTGATCCATAAAAGCATCTGGAAGCATTCATTAATGGATGATAGGATTGCTGTAGATTTCCTCCTTTGGGCCAAGACACAGTTCGTGCAATTGCTAACACATCTTGTATTATCCGTGTCAGTGGCCCCAACCAAAAGGAAATGTCCAGAAGCTTCAGGAGAAAGCCACGTGGCTTGCTAAGGTGGACCCTGATGTTTTATGGTATTGCTTTAGCTGGCTGGGTCCAGGATGCCGGGAAGCATGGTTAAGGTCAGGATTTTAGTTTGGCTCATCATGATAATTGGAGTCCTGTTGATAGCAGCTTTTATTAGATGTGTGAGACAAATTGAGTGGATTTGGTTCCAGCCTGTATTAGATTGATCAGAGTAGCTAATGGAGTGGATACTCAGAGGGAAATTTGACAGAAGCCGAGACAGTATAAATACAAGGAGTGGGTCTTGTTGGGAGAGAGTTCTCCAGGGATCTTTTGCATTTCTGTATGTCTCTGGAAAAGAGAGTGAGCGCATTTGTGGTGGACTGTCTTTTCAGTAGTGTTGGTGTAAGCAGTTAGCCTCGGAGACAAGATAGTGTCTCCAGGCCATAGGTAAGTTTGTTTACTGCGCTGTAGGATAAAGATGGGATGTGGGCAGGCATGCCCATTATAAGCATTTGGGATCCCCAAGCTCAGGGATCCTTTCTTGTAATGTAACCTATTGTTCCAGCAGTTTTTACCTGACTGTCTTTGTATTGCCCTGTAGGAATTACAGGCTCAGGTAACCGGTACAAGCAATGCTAATAGGCTGACAGCTGCTCCTGCTGTGGGTAGGAAAAGCGGTAGTCCCCGTTTACCCTTTAAGCTTTCACTTTCCACAGTTTCAGTTACCCGTGTTCAACCATGGCCCAAAAATATTAAATGGAAAATTTTAGAAACTATTTATAATTTTTTTTTTCTTTGAGGCAGGGTCCCACTCTGTCACCCAGTCTGGAGTGCAGTGGTGTGATCACAGCTCACTGTAGCCTAGACCTCCTTGGCTCAAGTAATCCTCCTACCTCAGCCTCCCAGGTAGCTGGGATTACAAGTGTACTCCACCATGCCCAGCTAATTTTTTTATATTTTGTAGAGATGGGGTCTTGCTATGTTGTCCAGGCTGGCCTCAAACTGCTAGGTTCTAGCAATGCTGCCACCTCAGCTTTCCAAAGTGCTGGGATTACAGACGTGAGCTACTGTGCCCAGCCAATTCATTATTTTAACTTGTGTACCGTTCTGAGCAGGGTGATGAAATTTTATGTTGTCTTGATGTGTCTTGCCCAGGACGTGAATTGTTCCTTTGTTCAGTGTCTCCATGCCATAGATGCTACCACCTCATTAGTGACTTAGTAGCTGGTTCAGTTATCAGATGGATCAGAGTGCATATAGGGCTGGGTTTTATCCGAGGTTTCAGGCATTGGCAGGGGGTCCTGGAGTATATCCCCCACTGATAAGGGGTGACTGTTACACTGTTTCTCTGATGAGGACTCTTGTCTTCTGCCAGCATCCATGAAAATGTCAAAAACAAGTTATAGCTTGGTAGTTTGCAAGCAGGTAAAATCTCAGACCCTTCAAATTTCCTTTTGTCTCTTGCGAAAAGTTCTTTTAGCTCTTATTCTTCTGAAAGTGTCTTTATTTCACTTCCCCCTTTCTTTAAACTGCTTTTTTGAGATTAACTCACATACCAGTTTACCCATTTAAATTAGAGAATTCAGTGGCTGTTAGCATATACAGTTTTGTGTCCGTCACCACAGTTGAGTTTTGTACATTTTCATCACCTCAAAAAGAAATCTAGTATCCATTAGCTATCATCTTCCTATTTACCCCTGTTACCTTCCCCCCAGGCCTAAGCAGCCACTAGTCTATTTTCTGTCTCTATAAAATGGCCCATTCCGGTTATTTTTTATAAATGGCATCATGTATGTGACTGACTTCTTTTACATAGCGTAAGGTTTTTAAAGTCCATCCATGTTGTAGCTTGTATCAGTACTTCATTCCTTTCTGTGGCTGAATAATATTCTGTAGTATAGATATGCCACATTTTGTTACTTACTCATCAGTTAATAGACATTCGGATTGTTTCTACTTTTTGAGTATTATAAACAGTGCTGCTATGAACATTCTTCTGTAAGTTTTGGTGGGGACAGGTTTTCTTTCTGTTGGGTAGATACCTAGGAGTGGAGTTGCTGGGTCATATGGTAACTCTATTCGAGGAACAACGAGACTGTTTTCCAATGTGGCTGTACCATTTTACATTACCACAAGCAGTACATGACAGTTCCCATTCCTTTCCACCCTCACCACTACTTACCCTTTTTATTACAGCCATCCTACCGGCTGTGAAGTGTACCCGCATTGTGGTTGTGATGTGCATTTCCCCGATGGCTAATGATGTTGAGCGTCTTTCCGTGTGCTTTACTGGTCATTTGTGTATCTTCTTCGGAGAAATGTCTATTCAGGTCCTTTGCCATTGTTAAACTGGGTTGTCTTTTTATTATTGAACTGTAAGACTTTATATGTTTGATATAAGTCCCTTATCAAAACAATTTTTTTCCTCCCATTCTGTAGGTTATTCTCTCACTTTCTTGGTGGTATCCTTTGAAGCACAAAAGTTTTTAATTTTGATATCTAGTTTAATCCACTTTTTTTCTTTCGTTGCCATTGCTTCTGGTGCCATATGCAAGAAATCACTGCCTAATTTAAAGTGACAACAAATTACACCGCTATATTCTTTTAAGAATTTTATAATTTTAACTCTTTCTTGTAGATCTTTGACCAACTTAATGTGTGGTATGAGGTGTAAAGGTCCAACTTGCCTCTTTGGCATATGGATATCCAGTTGTCCCAAGATTATTTGTTAAAAAGATTATTCTTTTCCCCATGGAATGGTAGTGACAGTGTTGTCCAAAATATTTGACCATATATAAGGGAGTTTATTTCAGAGCCTTCTATTCCATTAGGCTATATGTCTGTAGTTCCACGCTGCCAGTTTCATAGTATATTAATTACTGTAGCTTTGTATTAAGTTGAAACCAGTTAGTGTGAGTTCTTCAACTTTTTCTTCTTTTTGAAAATTTTTTGGGCTGTTCTCAATTGTTCTTACCAATTCCGTGTGAATTTTGGGATTAGCATGCCAGTTTCTACAAAGAAAACAACTTTAATGTTAATAAGAGTTACGTCGAATCTAAAGATCAATTTGGAGAGTTTTATGGTATTAACAGTATTAAGTCCCCAAATCCATGAACATGGAATGTCTTTCCATTTAATTAGATATTTATTTCAATAATGCTTTATAGTTTCCACTTTATAAGTTTTACACCTCTTTTATTCCTGTTTTTTTTCTTTTTGGTGATATAACTAAGACTTTCTTAATTTCATATTTGGTTTGATCATTGCTACTGTATAGAAATACAATGCAGTTATTCCATTTTAAAAATTGATTTTTGTATGTTGCTTTGTCTCTTGCAATCTTGGTGAACTTCTTTGTTCTAATAGTTTTTAATGGACTCCTTAAACTTTTCTGTATAGAAGAGTATGTCATATGCAAATAGCAATAATTGTACTTCTTCCTTTCCAATTCAGATACCTTTGTGTTTCTTGTCTAGTCACTCAGCCAAAACTAGCTAGAACTCCAATACAATGTTGAATAGAAGTGGCAAGAACAAACATCTTGTTTTTCTGATCTTAGGGGGAAGCTTTTAGTCTTTCAGTATTCTGTGTGATGTTATTTGTGTGTTTTTCATAGATTCCTTTTATTAAGTTGAGGAAGTTCCCTCTATTTCTAGTTTACTGACTTCTTTTTTTTTTTTTTAATCATGAAGAGGTGTTGAATTTTCTCAGGTGTTTTTTCTGCATCTGTTGAAACAATATGTGATTTTTTCCCCTTTATTCTATTGATGTGGCATATGAATGTTAATTGACTTTCACATATTAAACCAGCCTTGCATTTTTGGAATAAATCCTTCTTGGTCATGGTCATTTTTGTATATTGCGGAATTCAATTTGCGAATGTTTTGTTGAGGATTTTTGTGTCTATATTCATAAAAGAGGTATAGGTCTATAGCTTTCTTGTGATGTCTTTTGTTTTGGTATTAGGTAAATAGTGGCCTCATATAAAGTGTGGTAAATTGTTTTCTAATTACTGGAAGAGTTTATGAAGAACAGGTATTTTTAAAAATTTTGGTAGAATTCACCAGTGAAGCTATCTAATCCTATGCTTTTTTTAAGGGAGGTTTTGATGATCAGTCTTATATAGGCCTGTTTAGATTTTCTTGGTTCATTTTGACTAGTTTGTATATTTCTAGGAATTTGTTTATTTCATCTGAGTTGTTAAAATTATTGGCATATAGTTGTTCATAGTATTTTAATTATTTTTATTTCCATATGGTTTGTAGTAATGTTCCCTCTTTAATTCCTGGTATTAGAAATGTGGATGTTTATTTTTCTTAATCAAAATAAGTAAAAGTTTGTCAATTTTGTTAATTTTTTTAAAAGAAACTTTTGGTTGTGTTGCTTTTAAAATATTGCTTTTCAGTTTATTAAGTTCTAAATTGTTTCTTTTCTCCTGCTTGCCTTGGGTTTAGTTTCCTTTTTTGCCAGTGTCCTAAGATAAAGGGTTAGGTTATTGATTTGAGGTCTTTCTTCTTTTTAGTGTAGGTGTTCACTGGTAGAAATTTCCCTCCCATCACTGCTTTTGCTGTATTCCATAAGTTTTGGTATGTTGTGGTTTCCAACTTCTCTTGAGACATTTTGGGGGGAGGTGGCCCATTGATTATTTAGCATGGGTTAATTTCTGCATATTTATGAATTTTCCCAACTTCTTTGTTATTTTCAGTATCATCCCCATTTGGAGATAGAACTTGCATGATTGCAATCCTTTTAAATGTACTGAGCTTATCTTAAGACTTAGCATATGGTCTGTGCTGGCGAGTATCCTGTGTGTGCTTGAGAAGAATGTATATTCTGCTGTTGTTGGGTGCAGAGTTATCTCCTTGTCAGACTTGCATAATGTTTCCATCACAATAATTAATGGAGCAGTTTGCCTGCCCCTGGATGTCTTATTGCTCCTTCACAGTCTGATGCTGAGATCTCAAGCTATGGCTGCCTGCCGGTTAACTCAAAGAATGGTTTTCATACCTTTTTTTTTTTCTTTTTTTTGAGACGGAGTCTTGCACTGTCGCCCAGGCTGGAGTGCAGTGGCTCGATCTTGGCTCACCGCAACCTCCACCTCCTGGTTCAAGCAATTCTCCTGCTTCAGCCTCCTGAGTAGCTGGGACTACAGGTGTGCACCACCATGCCCAGCTAATTTTGTGTATTTTTAGTAGAGACGGGGTTTCACCATGTTGTCCAGGCTGGTCTCAAACTCCTGACCTCGTGATCCGCCCGCCTTGGCCTCCCAAAGTGCTGGAATTACAGGCGTGAGCCACCGTGCCCGGCCCACATTTTTTTACTAGCTGGAAAAGATCAAAAGAATAATAATATTTTATGATGTGTGAGTTATAAAATTCAAATTTTAGTGTCCATAGATAGAGGGTTTTTTTGTTTTTGTCTTTGTTTAATGCCATTTCATTCATTACATATTGTGTCTCGCTACTTCCTTGCTATAAGAACAGGGTTAAGTGATTGGGAGACCAGATGACCCATAAGCCTAAAACATTTACTCTTTGGCAGTTTATGTAAAGTTTGCCAACTCCTGGTCTAATGTGTCCACTATGACTTCCTTATGTATACTCAGTCTGGCCACTGAGTATGCCTAAAAACGGAGCACACACCTACCGTTAGCTGCGGAGGCTACTGTTGCTCTTCCTCTTTGCTCAATTTCCTGAGGAGGGAGGGACAGGATCTGCCTGGGGCCTGGCAGCAGCAGGTCCCCAGGGATGCTGGCCCTGGGGGAACCAGTGGTACATGGTTAAGGAGGGAGGGGAAACAAAAGCAGTGTGCTCCACCAGGCTCCTGCCTCGGCTCTAAGGAAACAGAGGAAAGCAAACGGGAATACTCTGGTTTAGTATACTGCCCGCTTCTGGAGTGGACATTGATTTAAGGTGGGTTGGGCAGGAGGCAGGGGGAACATTAAACATAGCTTTCCTACAAGACATAATCTCATTGCCCCTTTTCTTTTAAAACTCTTAAACTATTTCTGCAAAAACGTCATCTATGTGGACTTTTCCAGAAATATGTCTTTTACTTAAATTGAAATACACCCTCATACACAACTATTCACAAGTGAAGGAGCAAGGGAAAAATCGCTTTCAAGAGCTTTCCCTGCTATGATACGGACCGCGTGGACTCGCCCTTGGTGACCTGACGTTAATTCTGACTCTGTGGAGATCTGTCAGACGTGAAATCGGCCCTGTGATGAGCTAAGGTCTTGCTGTTCCTAATCCTTTTTTCTCAGAAGCAATAATATGTATTTAATTTTAGGCTGTTCAGTAGTTAAGGGCTTCAGTTTTCTATATCTCAAGTAGATATACTGGAGAGTTTTTTATTTCTTTGAGAGCAGAGAAAATGATGGGGATGGGGTATTCTCCCGTTCTCTACGATCATCAGCACTTCTACTCATTAGGCTCGAGTATTTGGGGATGTTAGAGAACCAGGCATGCCACAGTTTCGCCTGACCTACCTCTAACTGCCAGAAATGTACTGACGTTCTTAATAATTGATAGGTGCAGACCTTTGCGTTCTTAATTAAAGAGCCACTCCGTGGCTGTAGGCCTCTGCCCACAAGATACAGAGTCACATGCTGCCCCCAGGATGCAAGCTGATGCTTTTATAGTAACTGCAGATGTAATAACAGATTCTAGGTATTTCTTCAGTAACGTATGGAGGCACTGTGTCACATAACTCTCGTTCATGTGAGTAGCGGAAGATCTCTCTTCCATTTACGCTTCAGATGTTAAGGTAGTAGAATTTGTCACGGTGATAAAACGTGCTTACAAGGCAGGGTTGTGTGAATTGATAAATTTGATCCAAAATGTATTGGTCATCCATTTCAATGATTAACAGCATCTCCATTGAAAGATGTTAGTGTAAAATTAATTAAAACCAAGATTTGAAAATAACCTGATCGCTCTAGACTGTTTTATTACAATCAAGTATGATGTTCTCTGTTGACCTTTTTAGTTTTAATTGAGTGCTTCTGAATGATACTTGTGATACAGATCATATGTTTCTTTGATGGCAGTTTCACACCACAGAAGGTTCTCAGCGCCTTGTAGCTCATTGCTGTCACCACTCCAGGCTGTTGCCTGGGTGCCCGCTGCTGGAACCCTGGGATGACCAGGCACAGCTGCAGATGCCTCGAGCTGCTCCAGCCATGAGTGTGGAAACCAACTCGGTGGTCAGGCTTCAACACAGAAATAGCAGAGAGCCCCTTTCAGTCACAAGAAACATAAGTCACCTAATGCATATCCACACGTTCTCAGCATAAAAATTTAGCATCTTGTTTGACTTACTTTCAGGGAAATTGTCCACAACCCAAATGGCCTATTACTATTTTATTGAGGTTGCAGAAGAGATCATTTTATCATCTATTGTGGTTTTTGCTATTTTTGATGTTTCCTAATGAAACTTGCACTTTTCCCCCCAAATTTTGATTTTTTTAAAACTATTTTTTTCCTTTTATGAACAGGTTGAAAGGATTGTTGACAAAAGGAAAAATAAAAAAGGGAAGACAGAGTATTTGGTTCGGTGGAAAGGCTATGACAGCGAGGACGACACTTGGGAGCCGGAACAGCACCTCGTGAACTGTGAGGAATACATCCACGACTTCAACAGACGCCACACGGAGAAGCAGAAGGAGAGCACATTGACCAGAACAAACAGGACCTCTCCCAACAATGCTAGGAAACAAATCTCCAGATCCACCAACAGCAACTTTTCTAAGACCTCTCCTAAGGCACTCGTGATTGGGAAAGACCACGAATCCAAAAACAGCCAGCTGTTTGCTGCCAGCCAGAAGTTCAGGAAGAACACAGCTCCATCTCTCTCCAGCCGGAAGAACATGGACCTAGCGAAGTCAGGTATCAAGATCCTCGTGCCTAAAAGCCCCGTTAAGAGCAGGACCGCAGTGGACGGCTTTCAGAGCGAGAGCCCTGAGAAACTGGACCCCGTCGAGCAGGGTCAGGAGGACACAGTGGCACCCGAAGTGGCAGCGGAAAAGCCGGTCGGAGCTTTATTGGGCCCCGGTGCCGAGAGGGCCAGGATGGGGAGCAGGCCCAGGATACACCCACTAGTGCCTCAGGTGCCCGGCCCTGTGACTGCAGCCATGGCCACAGGCTTAGCTGTTAACGGGAAAGGTGAGTGTCTAGGGAGCTGCTCAGGCTCCGTGGTGATCCCAGAGGGCTCGGGTCCTTCTCTAGAGATCAGGCCTTGAGCTGGGCAGAGTCCGGGGCTTCTCACGGCATCTGCTGGAGCCTTGCAGAGATTTCGCCTTCTCCTTTCTTCGCTGGAAGCCTTTGATATTTCTCTTAATTCGGCAACTAGTTTTTTCTGTGTAATTCGCCATCCACAGACTGTGCTACCACACTGACTTGCTTTAAACAGTATCTCCCTCTAACTAGGTTATTAGGTGATAAGTTTTTACAGCAAGTTTCTGAAGCTGTCTACCTTTCTTCACCTCTGAAGTGCTGAGTCTTGTCTCGTGTTAAGCGTTTTCTTCTAAGTGTGGCCAGCATTGATACAGAAGTGCAGGTTCTTATTTTGCTCATCTGTGTGAATACCCAGGAATGCCTTTCAGTGGGAGCGTTGCTAACCCAGCAGAGCCTTTGGGAGCCGGGCTCGTTTCTCTGTTGTGATCGGCAGTGCAGGTGCCATTGCTTCCCCCGTCAGAGCCCAGTCTGCCTGGCACCGGTGGTGTCCTCTGTTTTACTCTCATCCCCAGCCCCGCTCCTGGGTTCTGCAGCTGCCTTGGTTGTGCCATGACCTGTCCATCTCCCAGGACAGCACAACTGGGAGTTCACATGGGTGGCTTCCTTCTCCTCACTTGCCACACTGTGCCGGCCACAGTTTTCTCTTACGAGGCCTCATGACTTCTCACCTGCTGGAGCTTTCTAATAGGGCTTCCTGCTTCCTGCCTTCTGACAGCTCCCATCCCTTTTCAGTCATTCTTGGACGAGGGTGGTGTCCACTGGTGCCCCCACCCCATTGCCTTCAGTAGCAGGTGTGCCCTGTGTGTCTGCGACCTGGCGCTCCGCTGCCCTCTGGCTCGCTCTCTCTGTCAGCACCAGGGCCGCACGTGGTCCCTTCCTCTCCATCTGCTCAGGGGCCCCCACCACCTGGCCCTCTCCTCTCTCTCCCTTCTGAGTTGTAGTCTTAAAATTGTCTCTTTAGCCGGGCGTGGTGGCTCATGCCTGTAGTCTCAACACTTTGGGAGGCCGAGGAGGGCAGATCGCTTGAGGTCAGGAGTTCGAGACCAGCCTGGCCAACATGGTGAAACCCCGTCTCTACTAAAAATACAAAAATTAGCCAGGCGCGGTGGCGCGCACCTGTAATCCCGGCTGCTCAGGAGGGTGAGGCACAAGAATCGCTTGAACCCAGGAAGCAGAGGTTGCAGTGAGCCGAGATGGTGCCATTGCACTCCAGCCAGGGTGACAGAGTGAGACTCCGTCTCCCAAAAAAAAAAAAAAAAGAGACTCCGTCTCTTTACCTGTGTGTGTCTCCTCCAACCCAAGCTCAGTAGAATAATAGCAAACAAAATACAATGGTGTTGGTTTGTTTGGGGAGCTACTTTCCTCTAAAGCGAAGTGTTCACTAAGACATTCTAACCGTCCTGCTTTGGTGCATTCAACAGGTTTTCTCCTCGGCCCAGGCCCTTGTGTAGCAAAAAAGTGGAATATGAACTGAAATCTGGGGTCTCCCTTTGACAGGAAATTGCCATCTTGCCAATGTTTTTCAGATACACACTTGACCCAAACGGTGCCTTTTCCGGCTTCATTGGAGCTTGTGAACTTGTTTGCAGGTTTGACTTCCTATATTGTTTGACCTCATGGATACAGTTTTCTCTTACTTAGTTGTATGTGAGGGATCAGAGAAGTTCAGAGGTAGAAGGGACTCACTTAATAGCACGCTCTATTTTGCAGTTAGGGAAGTCGAGTCCAGAGAGAAGATGATGTTCATGGAGAGAACCGAAGCCAGAAGGGGAACCAGAGCGCGTGCCTTAGTGCCTCCCTGGCGTTCTTCCCAGCATTGCTTGTTGCCTCCTGGACAGATAAGCACCTCCGTCTTCATTGATGACTTGGGGGCCAGGCACGGTGCTGGACTGTAGTGCTACCAAAAAGGACTGATGAGCTATAGTCCGTGGGCTTGGCCCTGCCCTGCTCCTGGTTTTGTATGACCTGCAAGCTCAGAATGGATTTTACATTTCCTGATTTTGGAAAAAGAAAAAAATCGGGAGGAATATTTACTAACGTGAAAATATAAGAAATTAAGATTTCTGTGTTCACACATAAAGTTTTCTTGGAACACAGCTAACCATCCATTACTATGAATGAATGGAGCTATCCATTCATTTACTTCCACCACCAATCCCGGCTAATTTTTGTATTTTTAGTAGAGACAGGGTTTCACCACGTTGGCCAGGCTGGTCTCAAACTCCTGACCTCAAGTGATCCACCTGCCTTGGCCTCCCAAAATGCTGGATTACAGGCGTGAGCCACTGCATCTGACCTACTTGGCTCTTTACAGAGAGGATACCTGATCTCTGCTCTTAGGAGGCCATAGATCTGTGAGCCCCCTTTTTTGTCCACAAAAGTCGTGTGTGTGTGTGTGTGTGTGTATATGTGTATATACACACATGTGTATGTGTGTGTATATATACACACGTACGTGTGTATATATACACATATGTATGTGTGTATATGTGTATGCATGTGTATATATACGTATGTGTATATGTGTATGCATATGTGTATACTTGTGTGTATGTTTATACATATATGTATGTATGTGTATATATGTATCTATATACACATGTACATATGGGTATATATGTATCTATATGCACATATATGTACATGTGTGTATATGTATCTATATGCATATATATGTGCATGTGTGTATATGTATCTATACACATACATGTACATATGTGTATGTATATATGTGTATATATGTATACATGAGTATATATGTACATATGTGTATAGATACATATATGTACAGATGTGTATATATGTGCATGTATACATGTATGTATATATGTGCATATATGCATGTATGTATATATGTGCATATATGCATGTATGTATATATGTGCATATATGCATGTATGTATATATGTGCATATATGCATGTATGTATATATGTGCATATATGCATGTATACATGTATACGTATATATGCATGTATACATGTATACGTATATATGCATATATACATGTATACATATATACGTATATATGTATATATACATGTATACATATATACGTATATATGTATATATACATGTATACATATATGTGTATATGTGTGTGTGTATATATATACACACATTTTTTGTTTTGAGAACCCTTGATTTTCAAAACTTCGAGCCAACAAGGTTAAGAGCTCTAGTCCTTAACCCGCACGTCCAGTTTTGGTTGGAGACCACCTCCAATGCGATCTTGCTGGTTCCCTCTCGTGTGTTAGTTCTTTCAAAATGAACTGCAGCCCTCGCCAGATCCACATTGCGCTTTCACCACATGTGAAACAATTCGCAACAAGAACCTTCATTCCTTTATATTTCTTATATAAGGAAGATAATAATAGCTTCCATTTAAATGAGGATTTAGTGACTTCCTTTCTAAAAAACATCCATCCACACATGTGGCATTGGTTAAACCAAAAGGGATGTGTAAGCATAGAATCTTAAATTATTTTACCTTGTTGTGCGGAGTTGGGAGGTTGGGTTGGGAATGACAGTATTTTTCCAAGGCCCTCACCATCATTTTTCTCCAAAGCTATGATCTCTACCCCTCTCTCACTTCTGCCTGGGCGCTGGTCAGATCAGCCCTGACCCCTGTATACTGCTGAGAATATAATCACTAGTTAGAGGAAAATAGAAGCTGTTAGGGAGCATTTTTAGGACAGTGGTGAATGACATCCCCTGCGGCCTTGATCTAAATCAGGCTTGCAGATTAACGAGGAGGAAGTCTTTCTGGAAGAAAAGCAACTGCAAAGCTGGTGGAGCCCCTGACAGCAGGCCTCCTGTGGATTTGGGAGGGTCAGTTCTGTCGCTGCCCTGGTACCTGTGCAGAGAAGAGCTTTGTTATACTCTGCTAGATCGTAAGCTCCAAGAAAGCATTTTGTTTTTCCAGACTAAATCGAACTGTGCCCAGAATGGTGCCTGCCGTGTAGTCGGTGCTCTGCAAGTACTTGTGGATGGAGTGATTCCAGTAGAATGGGTGCGCATGGAAGACAAGGGTTGTTGTAAGGAGTCATTTGTGGCCTGGGTCTTTTGCTCAGAGAGGAGGGAAGGAGAGCAGGAGGGGAGAAATGCTATTGAAATAACAACATATATGGCCAGAAACACAGACATTCCAGAAAGCCCTCGTTCGCCCTCTGGCACATGCTTCCTGAATGAGGAGAAGCCGCGCTGAAGCTCTGTTAGGCTGTTGGTCCACACTCAGACACTTTTTAAGCCATTGTTTGTTTTTACTTTCTAGACTAATTTTAGAGCTACGTAAAGAAACTGATTTGTTTTTCTAAAACTAATTGAAGTAGATACTGGTGGAGTCATTGGGAAACGAACCATCATTCAAAACATTAATCATATACTGAAGGAATATTTTTGCCACCAAAAACCACAGATATTTGAATATCTGTGAACCCAAAGAATGAATGTTTCTGGAGTATTTTCACACACACTCACTTTTATAGAATAACCATATATGTGTTTGCTTTTTAATTATTTTAAGTATGACGCAAAGGCTTAAATGAATATATTATTTCACTCAGAAATGTGAGAAATTCTAAAATTTAGGTGATGCAGCTAGCTGTCTTCTTTCTCTCTATCAATGTTTAATGGTAATTTCTTGCTCTTTTAATTCCCTAATGAATTAATCCTACAAAAGAAGTAATTGCTTTTAAAAACTGGATTATCGTAACTTTGTCCTTTCATGGATTCAAACATATAATTCATCATCATTCCGTAAGTATGAAATTTCAGAAAATGCTATTAGCAAACTTAAAACAAATAGGTGTAAACCTTATCAGTGTTGTGACATAGGGTTGGCTTTTGGATTTCATATTGAAGCCAACAGACCTAGTAGGAAAATGACTGAGGAAATATTAATACCTTAGCACACCTTGCATTTCATGAGCATTTCAACCAAAGGAAACTCCTAAGAGAAAGTGTTGAGGAAAACCTGGCTGCTTCTGAGGAGCTGGAGTGTGATTTCCTCTCAGTAAGAATATGAGTAGATGATCCATCTCCCTTTCCTCTGTGATTATCAGGGAAGTATAAGAGGCACAGCTGCCCTCTAGGAAGAAGCCCCAGGGCTTTCTAGGGCCTTTTATGATTTAGTCTCAGAAATTAGAACTTAACCCCAGGGAAGATTAACAAATCAGGAGACCAGGCCAGGTGTGGTGGCTCACACTTGTAATCCCAGCGCTTTGGGAAGCTGAAGCTGGAGGATAGCTTGAGGCCAGGAGTTTGAGACCAGCCTGGGCAACATAGTAAGGACCCCATCTTCATAAAAATAACTATTTTCCTAGGTTTTGAAGGTTTTTGTTTTTTTTTTTTAAATTATCCAGGCATGAGGCCAAGGCGGGCGGATCATGAGGTCAGGAGATCAAGACCATCCTGGCTAACAGTGAAACCCTGTCTCTACTAAAAATACAAAAAAAATTAGCCAGGCGTGGTGGCAGGTGCCTGTAGTCCCAGCTACTCGGGAGGCTGAGGCAGGAGAAAGGCGTGAACCCAGGAGGCAAGAGGTTGCTGTGAGCCGAGATCACGCCACTGCACTCCAGCCTGGGCAATTGAGCAAGACTGCGTCTCCACCAAAAAAAAAATCCAGGCATGGTGACTACATGCCCCCTGTAGTCCCAGCTACTTAAGAGGCTGAGGTGGGAGGATTGCTTGAGCCCAGTAAATCAAGGCTACAGTGAGCTATGGTTGCACCACTACACTCCAGCCTATTCCACAGAGCAAGACCCTGTCTCAAAAAGAAAAAAAAACGAAAAGGCAGCAGTGCCCAGACCAGCGCCCAGAGGTAGCAGCTATTCCCTGGGGCCACAGCAGGAAACCTCCACTTGAAAAGAGAAGACATTTGAAGTCAAGTTACAGCAAACAGGCAATTAGAAGTGTGTTTGAGGGTTTGATCAAGAAAGATTTCAGTTTGAAACCCCACAAATGATTGACATGTCCTGTATAGTGGGTCCATGCTAGAGGCTTCCACATGTGTTATCTTGCTTATTCTTTTCAAGAGCAAACCCACTTACACAAGGAAAGGGTCCAGAAGCTAGAAATCAAACGAGAGGGGAGTAGTCCTTTGAGACATGTAGATGCACAGCCTCCCTCCTTTCTAAGCATTTAATAGGTATCCTCAGGCAGAATGATGTGATGCCCAGCAGCAGGTGGGTTCCTCAGTTCCTCAGAGTGAGCATAGTGGTCCGCAAACCTGCGTGTGCTTAAGGATTCTAGTGCAGAGTTTCAGGCATAGAGCCCGTAGAGAAGATGCTCTTGTCCAGCTGGAGCCAGTCTGCTTACTCCCAGGAATCTTTAAAAACATGCACACCATAATGATTTTATTTTAAAACTTAATAAATCTGCATTATTTTCCAATGATTGATGTCGAACCAAGGCCCTTTCCAAGGGAGTGCTTGCGTTTGCCACTTGGAAGAGCCAAGGACTTTTGAACATGGATTCATTGCTTGGAGCCCTCTCTTGTGTAAAGCATGCTCGTAATGTATCACTTACTGTTACCACTTTGGATTTCTTCAAAGTAGAGCAAAACTTAGGTGTACTTAGAAATCTGAGTACAGCCCTAGCCTTTTTGATTTTTCTCATTTTCTCACACCTGGTTTTGACAACAGTTTTTAGTCTAGAGCCTTTCCAAATCATTCAATGTAGTTTTCTTTGAAACATCAGCTCCCCTTTTGTAATCATCCCCTGTTGTATGTAAAAATGAATTAAATATAACAAGTTCAGCTAGCCAAAAAAGTGTAAGAGGAAGGAGAGCGTTCCCTCTATCCTCTTAGGTTTGTGGCTGGGGCCTGTGAATTACAGTGGTGAAAGACATATTAACAGGAGAAAAGGACATATACATTTAATTGGTGTTTTAAATTTTATGTTCCCAAGAGGTCTCCACACAAAAGAGGAAACCCCAAAGAAGTGGTTAGGTTTGAGGGCTCATATACCATTTTAACAAAGGATGATAAATTGCGGAGAAGTTCCTAGACAAAAGAAAGTGGGGTTTCTAGGCTTCTTGGGGGTGGTAAAATGTGGGGAGGTGGATATACGGGGAAACAAATGGAAGACAAAGGCTGTTTAGTAAGGTCTGTTGATGCCGTCTCGGCCCAGTTTCATCTCTCTGGTAATGAATTGTTTTCCTTTTCCTGGTACGGGAAAGTGGGAATACCTTTACAGACAGGAATTTAAGCCCTTTCAGGCAGCAATAGAGAGTTCTTTCTGCATCTGTTGCTTCTCAGTTGCCTTTAGCTAAAAATAATCCGTATTCAAAAGTGGCATATTTTAGAATTGCATATTCTGATTCCCGTCAGAAGTTTAGGGAACGAACCCTGCCAGCTCTTCAGCAGCCATATCCCGAGGGGAAGAGTCACGTGTGAGCTGTGTGGAGTCCCGTGACCATCTCACTCTGGATAGGGAACCAAGGTTTCTCAAGGAGTGTTTTCCTTCTTATTCTGAGAGTCCCTGCTGCAGACTTTGAGAGTTTTTTCCCTGCAAATGAAGTTTATTGATGTCACAGCTCCAGAAATGTTAACACACATCCTGTTGTAAACAGAATGTGTAAATGTCATACATTTTTGCACAAGTAATTTAGAAGTACTTTGAGCAAAATATGAGTTCACTGTTACCTCCCCCTCTGAATACCAAATTCCCCAGAGAGAACATCAGTAGTTTGATGTGTGTCATTTCTATCTTTTTCTATGAATTTATATTCTTTTATATGAGATCATACTACGTAATTTGTTCTTAGCATTTGCTCTTTTTATTTAACATCATGTCTTGGAGAACTCTCTATTTTAAGACTCAAATTATTTCTTTTTATGTTTTAAACTTTATATAAATATGATTTCAAACTTACAAGTTGCAAGACCAGTACAAGAAATACCCATATAGTATCCCTTACCCAGATTCACCAATTGTTTACATTTTGCCTCATTTACTTTCCCTCTCCTCTTTCTCCCCCATATATGTTTATACACACATACACATATGCATATACATTTTTTTCCTATTCGAGGATACATTTTACACTATTTGAGAGTTAGTCGGCAACTTGCTATTGTAAACGATAAAACACAAGGCCTGTAATTGATTTAAAATTTTAATAGATGTTGCCAAATTGCTCTCTAAAAAAGCTGAAAAGATTGTGAGTACATATTTACCTATTCTTAACCAACATTTTAATCTATTTTTCAGTGTCTGGCAGATGAGAAATTGCTATCTCATTGTTTTAATTTTAAAACAGGAAAACTGTTTTTGCAAGTTAATTGACTGTTTGCATTCATTCTTCTGTTAATTCCGTATACGTGTGTATATATATATATATATATATATATATATATATATATATATATATATATATCTTGCCTGTTTTTCTTTTGGGTGGTTTAACTTCCAAAATGTGAACATTTCGTGAATGTACCTGTCTTTGCCCAGGGACTACACTGATCTTCTCTGCATGTTTGAGCTGTGGCGTGCATGCTTGTAAAGAGAGTGCCTAAAAAGAGGTCCATGATTCAGGGTCCTCCCCACCCCACTCAGGGGTGAGGTAGGACTATCTAGGCCCTGCCTTAAGGGACTAGAAAACTTCCAATTAATGTGCATTAATTTTATGGTTCCTGCTCAGTTTTGAATATACCAAAGTATATTTCATTACTTTGGGCTTATATGAAGTACAATTTAAAAGAAATTTAGATTTCTTAGGTCAGATGACATAAAAGGAATATTTCTAACTATAGTTCTTGCTCCTTTTGAACTTTAACTGATACAAGGACAAAGGGGGGGAAATCACATTTTCAGATTAAATTTGCTCTTGTCGCTGCATGTGCTACTAGGAATTAAGCCCTGTTACAAATCCTCCTTGTCTCCTCTATTCCCGTTAGCATTGTTTTTGCTGCAGTCAGGTACTGGCCTTCTGGAATATTCCTCCAGTGGCATGCTGTACCTTAAGGTTGGGAGCAGCTATATATACACAGGGTACAGGCTCTCTAGCCTCTTCCGAGCATGCTATTCTGGTGCCTTTGTTCTGTCTTAAGTTCCTCCAACATTCATCTTCCTCTTTCAGAGAATCCTTGTTTTACAGAAGAGGCCGCTTGTGAAAGAGAGTGATTTGATCAAATCACTAGCAGAATTGGTGGGAAACTAGACTCTACGTTAGAACCTACTCCTGACTTCCATTTAGTTCTTTGTACTGTGTCACACTGATAAGTGAATTTTTTATAAGCGTAATTGATTTTATTAAGTACACAGTATTACTCAAGACTTTCGCTTCTGTGTCAAGTGAGTGAAACTGAACCCACAGTGGCTTAAACATACAAGCAAATGAAATGGCATCTGTTGGCTCATGAAACTGAAATCCAGGCACAGCTGGATCTGTGGCCTGAAGTTACCATCATTCTCATACCCCACCCCACCCCCAGCCTCCACTTTTTCAGTCAGGCCATCCTTCCCGCATGGAAGCAAGGTGCCCCCGCAGCTCTGGGCTGCCACCCTGACCTCTCAGCTGACCAGACAGAAAAGGGGCTTCTCTTCCTCCTACGTTTCAAGGGGTGAGGTCAACTTCATCTAAACTCTGTAACCTAGAAGGAAGGGGATGAGAGGATACCCCAGGGGAAAGCCAGGGCTAGTAACAATAGAAATGGCAATAGAGGCCGGGTGCAGTGGCTCACACCTGTAATCCCAACACTTTGGGAGGCCAAGGTGAGTGGATCAACTGAAGTCTGGAGTTCGAGACCGGCCTAACCAACATGGAAAAACCCTGTCTCTACTAAAAAAAAAAAAATACAAAATTAGCCGGGCGTGGTGGCGCATGCCTGTAAACCCAGCTACTCGGGAGGCCAAGGCAGGAGAATCGCTTGAACCCGGGAGGCAGAGGTTGCAGTGAGCCAAGATCGCACCATTGCACTCCAGTCTGGGCAACGAGTGAAGCTCCATCTCAAAAAAAAAAAAAAAAAGACAGTAGGTACTGAGCAAGCCTGGACAATCATACTTTGAATTAATGTCATGTTCCAGCGTTTGGGTGGCCCTCTGAAACAGTACACAGTCATCCTCCCAATGCAGCTGTGCCCAAGATGCTGCTCACCAGGAGACTGAGCTGTGCCCAGCTCTGTACTTCCTCTTTTTGAATAGGTGTTCTTCCTCCTTTTCTAGTCCTATCTTTGGGAGCTAGGCACTGCATTTATCTCCTTTTTAATTTGATATCTCACCTTTTACACATCAGTCACATTAATTACACAAATGGACTGTTTATGAGGATCCCCTTGGAGAAGGTGCCAGGGAGTCCAATTCTCCAAGGCTCTTTTGCCTTGGGTGCAGAAGGTTTAACTAACGTGGCTTGAGTACTTAGATTGGATGGATGGGAGCCGATTCCCTAGAACAGTCTGAAAAAATAAAATCGGATGTTTTTAAAATATCCAGGGAAAGATCCAGAGTAGATGGACAAATTCACTTAAACTTTAAATGGTAAAATGGAAGTGTTGTGCAGATATTTCAGTGGTCTTTAGAATCTCCTACATTGCCTAGTCCAATTGTTTACACACATTAGGGGCTTCATTAACATTTGCGTGTACATGAGTGAGTTGTTGGAGGAATTTTTATCCCTTCTGCTTCCGTTATTAGTGTTTGTCTTTTAAAAAGAAGAGTAAAAGGAATGGTTTGTTAGGGTAGTCGGGACAAATTACCAAGGCACCAAGAGGCACTCCTACACTCCTGCCGCCCTAAGCACTTAGGGGACGTCCTCCAAATCAGACGAGTCAGCAGGCCTGTGCTCCTGCGCCATGTCCCTGCTGTACGTGCACATGTCCTTTTAAGTGAAGTCAATATATTCCTCTTCACAGCTGCATCCCAGTGCTCAAGGGAACTTCTTGAGAGTAAGAACCAAGACATTTCGTCCTAGTTTTTCTACTACCTGCCACATGGTAGGCGGCCACTAAACTGTGGAGTGGATGAAAGCATTTTCTTCCGTGATGGTTCATCTTAAATGTCTTTTGATAATTAGCATTTTATTGAAAATTATATTGTTTTATCTGAGCAAAATCTACTTAAAGGGTTCATTGAACTTCAACAACAAGTGAAATAATAAAAGAACCCACACGATGCACACGGTGGCTTGCCAGGGCTTGGGTGCCGGAGGGAGGAGACAGCTTCTGTGTCCTTTCTCACCAGCAGTCTCTGGCCCCAGTGGAGCCCCAGGCTCACCTCCCCTCTCCCGCTTTGTGTGCTCGGCCCCTGCAGCTGGAGTCTGCTTTACTTGATTCATGTTACTTGGTGTCCACACAGTTGCTGGCTCCTGAGTATCTTCCGTGGCTTCTGAGTTCCTGAAACACATTTTCCTCAGGTTTTGAGGCATCTTTTTAAAGCTTGCTTTTAGTTTCGGATTCACTCTATGTCCCATGCCATACACCCATCAGCCGTCTGCCTGGGAGAGTTTCTGGAAGCTCCATGCCTCTTCATAGGCACGTTGCCATGTACCACATGGCAGGCAGGTGTGACTGGAGCTTGGCATTGCAGAGCCCCTGACTTCCAGGAGCTCAGAGCCTGGCAGAATGGATATTCAAGAAAGAGCCCTCGTTTCTGATGATAGGGTCTGTTTGAAAAGCATTGTGGTTGACAGAGCCATGCCACGCTGTCTGCAGACCAGAGGCCGGGCCCCTCGCAGTGTTGAAAGTTCAGCCCTGCCGTTGTGGGTAGTGCTCCCTAAGGCAAGGGCAGATGCCAGACTATTGTTAAGAAGATTATACTAAACTGATCCTTGTACAGCCCTGCTTCTCGTGGAGTGATGACACCGAATGAATGAGATAAACTGTCTCTTTTTAAAAAGTAATTACCCCGATATAGTGAATACCCATCTCCTCCAGTGATATGGACCTGATGTAATTGGCTCTCAGTCTAGGATCATAAATGGCATCTGCCAAGGCATCCTTAATAGGAAATATTAAGAAAACATTTTAAAGCTTATCTCCAAAGTGTTTGTTACTGCAGGTTATTTTCTGGACGATGTATTTGCTCTTCCGAGCAAGTGGATTTGATGCTCAATTCTTCCATTCACTGCGCCCCTCCCTGCCCTGGCTTTTGGGAAGATAACATTTCACAATCAGGTTTATTTATGATAACATCTGGTCTGTCCTCCCTACTTTATTATTTAAGACTTGTTTGTGCTTAAAAAGAACTTTTTTTAATGGGAACACACTAGGTTCTCAAATATACTTTCAGCCCAGTTACCTCAGTCATAGTCATCTCTCATTTCTGTCTGCAGTTTAAGTTCTTATTTATGTCTGTGCAGTAAGGAGAGGGAGCGTGTTGCCAGGAGAAAAGCTGTAAACGGCTTTGGGCCTCATCGTACAGCTACAGGTTGTACTTAGGACCCGTGTTAGCCACTTAGACTACAGCTGTGCACTGTGTCCCCCTCATCCCCACCCCGACCTCCAGCTGAGAAATAATTATCACAGAGTCCATGCACTGAAATGGAGGTGTTTAATCACAAGAACACCTCCGCAGTGCCTGTGTGATCGGCCGTCCCTATGTGAGCTGCTGATCTCAGAGACAGCATTAGGATGGCGACCACTGCCCCAGACGGCCCAGTGCTCTACCCCTAGCGTGATCTGAACTGCTGAAGTCAGAGAAGTCCACGTTGGATAAACAAAGCCAGCCCAGTAGTAACCTGGCTGTCACAGTGACCGTGTGTCCGTCTTACTGAACCTGGGTTTACGTGACTAGGATGCTGACACAAGTGAGTTTGCGCATGGCTTGCTGTTCTCTTCAACCCTCTCCAGCCTGAATAGGAATGTTAAACCCACTCAGGAATTCTCGTTGGTCTAAAGGACTGTGTTCATTGGTCTTTGACACTCCGTCAACCAACTTAGCGGGGTTGACCTGAGCCTTCGGACACGATGTGCCTGTGGGTGCCTGCCTCTCCTCCCACGAGACAGACCTGAACTGTCTCCTCAGCTGCTCAGCTGATTGTGAGAAATGTATTCTGTGACAAAGGCAGGCCACATTTCAGCGTCTTTTCTGAAGTGGCATGCTTAATTCCGCAGGGGCAGTGGGGGGATATTTAGAAGCAGTCGGTGGGAGAGGATGAACTGCTGAGTTTGAAGTAGTGAAAGGGGAAATCAGTCATAAAATTCATGTTTGAGAATTACACCAGTGAAGCCGTTGACTGCCTGGGTCAGAGCCGAAGGGCCATGTTTAGTGGCTGGGAGCCACTCGCCCCCAGCACTGGCTTTCTGCATGCTGCACGCCTCTTATGTCAAGTCTTTGCCTCCATTTTTGTAGGACCTCTTCTTTTTCATTTTTTTTAGTTTTATTTGTTCCCCTTTTTATTTTATTTATTTTTCATTTGTTTAAATGTATGGGGTACAAGTGCACATTTGTAACATGCATAGATTGCATAGGGATCAAGTCAGGGCTTTTAGGGGATCCCTCACCCACATAAACATACATTTCACCAATTGAGTAATTTCTTACATAGGACCTTTCTACTGTCAACAGTAATTGTGGGAATTGTTTCTACAGTGATTTAAGCCTTGAAAGAAGTAACTTCCTCCTAGTAAAATTGTAAAATCAAATGGTAAGATGACGTGGTCTCTAAGGAGGAGTGTCTACAGCTTTAATTACTACACTGCTAATGGTGAGAGGGTTGTACATTTTATCTGGTAAGAGAAAGTCTGCCTCTCCCATGGGCGGATGATATGACTTTTATTGAATGGAAAACCGGATGGAGATTATTTTTCATCTTGCTAATGTAGTTTTAAATTATGTATTCCATGTTCACATTGTAATTGTAGCATTTTCTTGCATGACACTTTCAGCAAAGTTTGGTAGCTGTTTCCCATGCTTGGCATTACCTCTAAAGGTGAAGTAACATAAGAATTGTATAGGAATACCATGAGAGCATAACGTGAGCATTATCAGCTAGGTGAGTGCGGAAGATCACACTGTTTAATTGCTGGATTGCCAGCTTCTGACCCTTCTCTGGGAGTGCGGCTGCCTCTGTACCTGCTTCATGACAGTACAAGCGTGAAGGCCACAGGAGAAAAAGAACAGGACCACACAGCCCAGACCAGCCTTGGAAGGCATGACATTGCGTACAGAGTGTATCGGTTGCTTCTGATTTCCGTGATTTGAACCACTCTTTTATTATGGACTTCAAAGGGAAAGTAAGCATAAGTTTAACTTCTGTGCTTTGGTTTTTCAGATAAACCTTATCTGATGGGACAAAAATTCTAAAACTATGGCAGCTATCAAAATTGTCACAGCTTTATAACAGCAAACCAAGAGGAAGAGTGGTGTAAAAATAGACTCAGTCTGAGTTTTGGTTTGGTTTCGTTTTATCTGGGGGAGAAGGAGGTTGCCCTAGTAAAATTTCTACTTGCAAAGTCTTCCACGTGCCATTTTTTCTGTTAATATGTTCTCAGTGAGTGGTCTAAACTAAATGTATTGTGTTCTATTAATCACTGTTTACAGAAATTTGCCATTTAGGAATGTATATTGTGCAGTCTAATGTGTGCATTTCCCAGTTTTCACAAGGGGTTTTCTCATGTGCATGTAATAAGCAGTTCCACACTGGGTTTTCTTGATTATAGAGTCTGTGTAACGCTGTGACAGCCTGGGGTGGCACCTCGCCACAATCTTCAGAGTTGCACATTACTGTGTAACATTAGAAACTGCTGCTACTCTGAGCTCAAGTGAGTCAGGGGTGCACCCCAAGAGCTGGATCACTGTAGGGCCAGTGGGTTACCAGGTTGTCCTCCTACAGAAAGGGGAGATGGGGGGAAAACAGACCACCCTGCTGCAGTTTTAGCCTGCATTTCCATGAGTTATGGAAGGATTGGAAGAAAAGCTGACTGTCAGAGTTTTGCTCTAATACAGCTTTTTTGTGGGTTTTTGTGTGTTTTCTTTTTTTCTGAGACAGGGTCCGGCTCCGTCTCATCCAGGCTGGAGTACAGTGGCTGGTGCCATCTCAGCTCACTGCCGTCTCCCCCTCCCAGGCTCAGGTGATCCACCTCAGCTTTCCAAGTAGCCGGGACTGCAGGCGTGCACCACCACGCCTCACTAATTTTTGTATTTTTTGTAGGGATGGGGTTTCACCATCTCTACAAAAGATGGGGTTTTGCCCAGGCTAGTCTTGAACTCCTGAGCTCAAGCAATCTTCCAGCATCAGCCTCCCAAAGTGCCTGTAATAGGCATGAGCCACCATGTCCAGCCTCTAATACGGTTTTTAAGTATTCTCGGATGCTCAAAACTGATCGCAAAACCGGATTTCAAAATTACTATATAGTTTTTGTTACTGTATTTATAAAACTTAGCACATTGTGGCTTTTAGGTTGCTGTTATGGTGAGGTCAGCTTCCTGTCTTGGATTTTGAGTAGCTTTTGCCCTCCTCTAGAACATGGTGTGTTCAGTTAGATGCTCTCCCTTGATCCTTTGCTCTTCAGCATGTCCTAAACGTCTCTGTTAGACAGAACCATCAGTTCCACAGTTTGGCCCCCCTTGAGCTCCGTGTTCTCTACCACCCCACTTGGTGCCCATAAGGAAAGAGACACATAAAAGCCCCTCCTTGCTGTCAGGGGGCTCATGGGCTGTCATTCCTCAATGTACTTGGTGTGGACCCCTGAAATGCCAAACACATGGAAAATTCTAGCACCCTAGTTAGAGGAACACTGCATGACAAGTTCTTGTTTCTCCTGGCAGCTTTGTAAGTACCCAGGCATTCCCTTGCAGAGATGGGTGTGGTCCCTCAGTGATTGTCCTGGGAGCCATTCAGAACCATAGCTATGGGTGATCCTTGGCAGCACCTGGTTAACCTGATGGGAAAGGGTCCGGAACCGGGCAGGCCATCCAGGCCGTGTAGATGATCAGAGGGTGCGAGCACAGGATTTAGGCATTGGTGTTTCATAGATGGATAGGTGGTATGTCCTTGGGCCCTAGTTTGAGAAACACTGATCTGGGCTGAAGCTGGAGGTTTGTTTTAGAAATTTGCTTAAGGAAGTATCTAATTTCACTGTAGTTTGCTCAGC